>NC_000010.11:56809761-56961277 GCF_000001405.40 Homo sapiens | reverse complement strand
AGACATTGAGAAAAAAAATCGCCAATCATAATCCTGTCATCCAGGGATAACCTGGTATGATGAATGTGACTTTTTTTTTTATACTTTAAGTTCTAGGGTACATGTGCACAACGTGCAGGTTTGTTACATATATATAGATGTGCCATGTTGGTGTGCTGCACCCATTAACTCATCATTTACATTAGGTATATCTCCTAATGCTATTCCTCCCCCCTCCCCCCACCCTACAACAGGCCCCGGTGTGTGACATTCCCCCTCCTGTGTCCAAGCGTTCTCATTGTTCAATTCTCACCTATGAGTGAGAACATGTGGTGTTTGGATTTTTGTCCATGCCATAGTTTGCTCAGAATGATGGTTTCCAGCTTCATCCATGCCCCTACAAAGGACATGAACTCATCCTTTTTTATGGCTGCATAGCAATTCCATGGTGTATATGTGCCACATTTTCCTAATCCCGTCTATCATTGATGGACATTTGGGTTGGTTCCAAGTCTTTGCTATTGTGAATAATGCTGCAATAAACATATGTGTGCATGTGTCTTTATAGCAGCATGATTTATAATCCTTTGGGTATATACCCAGTAATGGGATTGCTGGGTCAAATGGTATTTCTAGTTCTAGATCCCTGAGGAATCGCCACACTGACTTCCACAATGGTTGAACTAGTTTACAGTTCCACCAACACTGTAAAAGTGTTCCTATTTCTCCACATCCTCTCCAGAACCTGTTGTTTCCTGACTTTTTAATGATCGCCATTCTAACTGGTGTGAGATGGTATCTCATTGTGGTTTTGATTTGCATTTCTCTGATGGCCAGTGATGATGAACATTTTTTCATGTGTCTGTTGGCTGCATAAATGTCTTCTTTTGAGAAATGTCTGTTCATATCCTTTGCCCACTTTTTGATGGGGTTGTTTGATTTTTCTTGTAAATTTGTTTGAGTTCATTGTAGATTCTGCATATTAGCCTTGTGTCAAATGAGTAGATTGCAAAATTTTTCTCCCATTCTGTAGGTTGCCTGTTCACACTGATGGTAGTTTCTTTTGCTGTGAAGTAGCTCTTAGTTTAATTAGATCCCATTTGTCAATTTTGGCTTTTGTTGCCATTGCTTTTGGTGTTTTAGACATGAAGTCCTTGCCCATGCCTATGTCCTGAATGGTATTGCCTAGGTTTTCTTCTAGGGTTTTTATGGTTTTAGGTCTAACATTTAAGTCTTTAATCCATCTTGAATTAATTTTTTTATAAGGTGTAAGCAAGGGATCCAGTTTCAGCTTTCTGCATATGGCTAGCCAGTTTTCCCAGCATCATTTATTAAATAGGGAATCCTTTCCCCATTTCTTTTTTTTGTCAGGTTTGTCAAAGATCAGATGGTTGTGAATGTGACTTTAGAGCAAAGATCATTTGTTTTGTGTGTTGCATAAATTAGGTCAGCTGTTTTCAAATTTGATTGATCACTAAATTGACCCTGCAACTAAAACACAAATATAGCAGCTGAACACATGCCTATGGTCCACCGAAAACCTACCAAGTCAATAGATTCTTTCCAGGTTACTGTCCTCACTGTATTTTCAAAAGACTGCCTAAGTGGTTCTGATGCACAATCACAACTGAAAATTATTGCATTCGATAATAAAATGTGAATAAAAGAATATTGAATTGAAAGAAGTGGTTAAAAAGGGAATCCATAAACTGGATATATTATTTATTCTTCTCAACTGCAGAATATACCTACATCCCGTAAAACCTTAAATCAGCATCAGAGAACTCTCATACACACATTGCTTTTGTGTAGAAGGAGAGCTCCAGCCTGATTCTTTTTGAAACTGTCTGCTTCGTGTGCCTCCAACTCTAGCTCTAGACCACAAGGTAATTGTCAAATGTGTGTATTCTATCTGTGGATTCAAACCTCTCCATTAACTGGCAATGTGTTGGCTAGTATATTCATTTG
Source organism: Homo sapiens (assembly GCF_000001405.40). Taxonomy (NCBI): domain Eukaryota; kingdom Metazoa; phylum Chordata; class Mammalia; order Primates; family Hominidae; genus Homo; species Homo sapiens. The sequence continues at coordinate 56,959,330 of NC_000010.11, read as the reverse complement.
CATAGCATTCAAACTCTTAACTCCAAGTCCTAGATTCAGAATTTCTTTTGCATTATAATTTCTTTTGACAAAAGACCATGAGATCTGTGAAGGAAAAAAGGAAAGCTTTCTTTTCTATTTAAAAAATCAATCTGTAGACCAGAGAGGCATAGTCTTCAATACAAGTGAAAGTATACTCTCCAAAGAACAAAGTGTTTGGCTTAAGTAGAGAAAATTCCTGCCCCATTTCTCAATCAGGTCCATTAATGCAAAGGATGGATTCACGCTTGTTCAATTCTGATTGGTTGAGACACTTGACCCCTGATTGGCTGGCTTTCCAAGCCCCAAACCAGAAATATTTATAAGATTTTTTTTTTTTCCCCAAACAGCCTGTCGGGGAGTTCTGGCAACAATTTATCTTGGCTTTGGTTACAGGAACTGTTCTGGCTCAGGTACATGAAGTGGGATGTTTGTCAAGAGGTGCCTTTCCAAGAACAAAGGGCATATGATCATTCTCTCACTCCCACTGTAGACACTTGGTTCTATTTTTATAAATTTGGGTGTCTCTATCAGCTATAGGGATATCTGATCCAGAGAGCATGGGGTCTTATTGACAGTTTGATTTCACTTTGGGAACACTTGTCTGTAACTCATCTTTTTTTGCTTAGGCCTCTTATTTTCTTCTTCTTAGAAATTCACCCTTCATCCCCTAGTCTAATGGAATCACCTACTAGGCTAATCACCTTGGGCCAACCCTAGGCTAATGCTGTTGCCCATGTTGCTCCTTCAAACTCAGATTCTAAGGGATAAGGAATAACTCGGTAAAACCGACCTGTTGGACATCCTTTTTGGAGGTACTCTTTTATTCTTCTTCAAGGCTCTATGCATATATTTATATGCACTAAAGTGTACCTTTTTGTTTGTTCACTAAACACATATTGATCAAGCACTGATTATGTCCAAGGTACAGTGAGTCCTCATTAACATTGAGGATAGGTTCTTGGAAACTGCAACTTTAAGCAAAATGACAAATAATGAAACAAATTTTACCATAAGCTAATGGAGGTAAACAAGAGTTAAGTTTCTAATGCATTTTTCTGGTCACAAAAACATCACCACACTTCAAAATAAAGAAAAAGACACTTCTAATATTCAACACTGAATAAAGGTGAGCTATATATACATTACAGAAAAGTGAATAAAAACAAGTGAGATCATTATTTACGTACTATGCTAGCTCAGGGTTGTGAGTGCCCCGAGCCTATTCAAGCAGATTGGGTTGGCAAGGCAGGACCCAATCCTGGTAGGTCACCATTCAATCAGAGTGCACTCACACACACACACCCACAATCAGACTGGGACAATTTACATGCACCAGTGAACCTAACATGCACATCTGTGGGAAGTGGGAGGAGAACCTGGGGGAAAAAACCCACACAGATATAGAGAGAGCATGTAAACTCCACACAGCCAGTGCCCCAGATGGGAATTAATTTTTTCCCCTTCGTCTACATTATAACAAAATGATATTGAAAATAAGTTATTTGAGGACCTACTATACTACCTGGGACTTAAGAATACACCAGCCAATAGAACATACAGTGTCCCTGCACACGAGGCCTGCAATTTAGAGGAGTAATGCAGAAAAGAAAGCAACCAATATTTAATATGTCAGATAGTGATTAGTGCTATGAAGAAAAATAAAACTGCTTAAGAAGATGGGATATGTTGGCCATTTTATTAAAAATCATGACAAAAAGGCCTCTGTGAGAAGTACGGTGGCTATTGTTAATAAGGCTATAAATACATATGGATGAGGAAAGCAGTGTGTGTGTATCTGGAGCATAGTGGCAGGAAGAGGGGTAGGAGCTGAGGCTAGTGAGGTATTGGACAGGGGAGTTTAACTACAGCCTTATAGATCTTGGTAGTACCACAGAATTTACTCTTAATTGAAGAATAATTGAAGGATTGTAATCCTGGGAAGTAATTGAAGGATTTTGAACACAAGAGAAACATCTGACATATATTTTTACAAGGACACTACCATCTGCTGAAAGGAGATCCTGTAGAGGGGGAGAGGGTGAAAGCTATTGCAAACATTTAGGTGAAGGTTAACGATCACTTGCATGAGACTGGTGGGAGTGGGAGTAGTGATGAAATGTCGGGTTTTGAAGATAGATCTGCCTGGATTCAGGATGGAGTAGAAGAAGGTAGGTATAAGAGAAAGAGAGGAGTAAAGGATGACTTCAGGATATTTCCTATTTTTCTTTATTACAAATAATGCTGTATAAAATATTTTTGTACATATCTCTCTGAGTGAATATGGAGTGCCTCTATGATGTACATTTAGGAATATAATTTTTAAATGTAAGTTCATGAATATTTTCGAATTATTAAAACTTTCAAAGTTACTCTCTAAAGCAGTTACAACAACTGATATCCAACTGTTTAATTGTATATTGTGTTGCTCCAATTCTTCACCAACATGTCTAAATGTACATCTTAGCAGATCTGATAAATATGATAAAATATTTCATGACATGCTTAATTTTTGCTTCTCTAATAGAGAAGTGAGTTTTGTTTGTTTGTTTGTTTTTGTTTTTGTGTTTTTTGAGACTGAGTTTTGCTCTTGTCACCCAGGCTGGAGTACAATGGTGCGATCTCAACTCACTGCAACCTCCACCTCCTGGGTTAAGCAATTCTCCTGCCTCAGCCTCCTAAGTAGCTGGGATTACAGGTGCCCGCCACCAGGGCCGAGGTAATTCTTGTATTTTTAGTAGAGACGGGGTTTCACCATGTTGGCAAGGCTGGTCTTGAACTCCTGAGCTTAGGTGATCCACCCACCTTGGCCTCCCAAAGTGCCGGGATTAGAGGCATGAGTCACGGCACCCAGCCTTAGTGAGTATTTTTTATATTTATTTACCTTTTATCTGCTCTGTCTTGTTTGTTCATATCTTTGATCAATTATTTCTACTGGACTGTTATTTCTTTTTAGTTAGCTAATAAAGAATGTGGGTGTGTTTGTGCGTGTGTGGTGTGTGTGTGTTCACTTAATTTATGGCATATTTTGTTGTAGAGCCATGTTTAATATTGATGTTTCCCAATTAACTTATTTTTTGTGTGTTTTAATTAAAAATTATTTTATGCTCTGAGGTTATAAAGATATTATTGTTTATCTTCTAATTTTTTGAAGGTTTACTTCTTACTCATGGTATGTGTCTAACATAGTGGAGTGGGGCCCTGTTTGACAAGTATCTCAAAGACCTAGGCTATGTTAACTCTCCTATCTTTCAGCTGTACCATCTGGAACATTTAGCCTCTTCCATTAGTGCTGTAACAGAAGACAGAATGGAGAGCTCACACCCACTCTTCACGTTACTTCCACTCACAGAACATAGGCTACAATTTTACATGGCTTGATTAACTTCAAGTTGACTTGGAAGTGAAATCTTGAATTTCCCTGGGCAGAGGGAAAAACTTGATATTTACAAGAACTAGTAATGTCCACAATATAAAAATTTTTCTAAGAGTATTAGTCCATTTGTTCCTCACTCATTTGTGATTTCAGAAATAAATCCCATTGATATATATATACACATATATATAATGCATATATATAATCTATATAATCTATATATTGTATAGATTATATATACTTGTTATATATGTATTATAATACATATACATATATACATATATGTATGTATATATATGTATATACATGTATATATATATAAATGTACTATATATATAGTACATTTGCCTATTCATTTTATATTTTTTCCATTGCTCTATTTGGCAAATTTTGCATGTTAATATAACTATTCTTTTAAAATAAGTTCTTATATGTGAGAAGGTGGATAACTTAGTCTGTTCTTCTTCGATGTTTTCTTCTCGTCTGTAATTGGCTCTTAACTAATGTATACATTTGAAAAGCAGTATGTCAAGTTCCCTGAAGAATCCTGTTGAGGTTTTGACTCAAATTGCATTGACTTGGTGGATTCATTTGAGAATAAACTACATGGTTAAGATATTAATCTTGGCTAGGCATGGTGTGTCATGCCTGTAATCCTAGCACTTTGGGAGGCAAAGACAGGTGTATTGCTTGAGTCCAGCTTGCATAACTCAGAAATTATTTACAGGAATGACAGTGATCAAGAGTGAGGATGTATTAATGTCATGGAATATTCTCTTGAAAGCAATATTCTATGAAATTAATTACCTGGAGAGCACTGTAAGGATTCACTGATGCTGGTGCTTTATTATGTATTCCTAGTGAGCACTTAGTTTTCCCATAATCAGGCCAAGAGTTGATCAGAACAATAGTAAAAAATTTAAACATACAAAGCTTCTGCACAGCAAAAGAAATAATCAACAGAATGAACAGACCACCTAAAGAATGGGAGAAAATATTTGCAAACTATGCATCTGACAAAGGACTAATATCCAGAATCTACAAGGAACTCAGTCTAGTTAGTAGGAAATACAACCAAATAATCTTATTAAAAAGTGGGCAAATGACATGAATAGGCATTTTTCAAAAAGAGATATACAAATGGCCGAGAGATATGTGAAAAAATGTTCAACATTCCTGATCATCAGGAAAATACAAATTAAAACCACAATGAGATACCACTTTACCCCAGCCAGAATGACCATTATTAAAAAGTCACAAAACAGTAGATGTTGGAGCAGATGTGATGTGAAGGGAATACTTATACATTGCTAGTGGGAATGTAAATTAGTACAACCCCTGGGGAAAACAGTATGAAGATTTCTTAACTAAGTAAGAGTAAATCTGCCATTCGAACCAGCAATACCCACTACTGGGTATCTACCCAAAGGAAAATAAGTCATTATATAAAAAGACACCTACATATGTATGTTTATTGTAGAACAATTCACAATTGCAAAGAAATGGAATCAACCTAAGTTCTCAACTAATGAGTAGATAAAATGTGGTGTATCCATATGTATCATGGATACTACTTAGCAATACAAAAGAACTAAATAACATATTTTGGGGCAACTTAGATGGAATTGAAGGCCATTATCAAGTGAGGGAACTCAGGAATGGAAAACTAAATACCAAATGTTCTCACTTACCAGTGCGAGCTGAACCATGGCTACACAAAGGATACAGAGTGGTATAATGAACATTGAAGATTCAGAATTGGGGATGGTGGCAGGGGCATGAGAGATGAAAAACTACATATTGGGTACAATGTGCACTATTCAAGTAACGGATACACTAAAATCTCAGATTTCACCATTATACAATTTATCCTTGTAATGAAAAACCATATGTACTCCTAATGCTATTGAAATACAAAAATTAAAAAAAAAATCACGAACTGATAAATAAAATATGCTTAGAAAACACTGTCTGTAGAGCGGATGAGTCAATGGCATTTTACTAATATTCTGCTTTCATGTAAGCTGGATTACATGGACTATTTTTATATTTTTCCTTTCATATTTTTAATTTTATTATTATTATTATTTTTTGAGATGGAGTCTCACTCTGTTGCCCAGGCTGCAGTGCAGTGGCACGATCTTGGCCCACTGCAACCTCCACCTCCCAGGTTTAAGCAATTCTCTTGCCTCAGCCTCCCAAGTAGCTGGGACTACAGGCGCCTGCCACTATGCCCGGCTACTTTTTATATTTTTAGTAGAGATGGGATTTTGCCATGTTGGCCAGGCTGGTCTCGAACTCCTGACCTCAAGTGATCTGCCTGCCTCAGCCTCACAAAGAGCTGGGATTACAGGTATAAGCCACTGTGCGCGGCCTTTCCTTCCATCTTTTAAAAGCAGTTTGGTAAAGGGGATAAACACAGGGATTAAAATCAAAATGAGAAGTTTCAAATGTCAACTCTATTACTTACTAGCTGTGAAACTTTGGATGAGTTGTTTAATTTGTTTGTGCATCAGTTTCCTCATCAGCAAAATAAAATTTTAGTACTTCTTGATAAAATTTTGTGGAAACCAAATGAATCTATATATGTAAAGTGCATAGTAAGAGGTAAACAAACTTCCATCTTCATTAATATCAATATTATAACCAACATGACTTCAGCAGACTCAGTGCATCTCTAGTCTCCCTCCGTAACACAGCTGAGATTGAGCTACATAGAGAAACGAATTCAAGACTGAAGAAACATCTTGGGAAATACTATTTTCATTTGTTTAGGACTGAGAAAAATATGGTGGGTATATTGATGTTTTAATTTCCTGTTATCCCTTCCAAAACCACAAAGACCTGAGTCCTGGGAAAATGAACAATAAACAAATTAAAGTTTTCCATATTTTGTTATGACCTTGAAAATGTGAGGAGAAATGGACACCCTTTCTGAGTCATTGACATACATCAGAAAGTGTATATTCCTATTTTGAAGTTTTTGGTTAAATAAAATTTCATAATCAGCAGCAAATTATTGAAAGGAGTTAATATAGACCTATAGACTATCCAGGAAATTGTCTGGCATTTGTCTTGGCTATAGTGTAGTACAGAAGAATGCTCATCATGTCAAAGTCTCTCATTTCCATCAGTGTGGGAAATCTAGGATTTGGGGCCTCTGCCCTGCAGGAGAGCTAAACCTCTAAGACTCTTTATCATAGATCTGTGAAAGGAGGCACACTCAATCTCAATTAAAATTAACTTAGAAGTCAGGGGAAAAATTGCTCCAAGAGACAAGAGTAATAATAGTGAGTGTAAATAATTGTAAAATATTTATTAATAATTGGCAATACTACATTACATGCTGCATTTGTGCAATTTAGTTTAATCATTTCAAGAAGCCTGAGGATTTGCATTACACAGATGTAAAATTAAGGGCAAGAGAAAATTTATTGAATACAACTGCCTAAATAACTTGGTTAAATAAGGCTTATTATGTCTATTCAGTGAGGAAGATCAGCTACTCTGGTCTAATTTGACAGTGACTAAGTGTAAGAGCAAGGATGGGACCAAGCACTGTCCATGCTCCTTCCCAGAACATCTAGTGTTATTCACTGAATAAACATTTCTGAGCACAAATTTCAGGGGTGATTTTCTAAGTGCTGCAGATATAAAATTGGACATGACCTAGTCAGAACATCATAACTGGCTTATGTAAATGATACAGTTTTGTTGTGTCCCCACCCAAATCTCATCTTGAATTGTAGCTCCCATAATTCCCATGTGTTGTGGGAGGGACACTGTAGGAAGTAATTAAATGATGTGGGTGGGTTTCACCTGTGCTGTTCTCGTGATAGTGAATGAATCTCATGAGAACTGATGGTTTTATAAAAGGGCAGTTCCCTTGCACGTACTCTCTTGCCTGCTACCAAGCAAGACATGACTTTGCTCCTCCTTTGCCTTCCACCATGATTGTGAGACCTCCCCAGCCATGTGGAACTGTGAGTCAATTAAACCTTTTTTCCTTCATAAATTGCCCAGTCTTGGGTATGTTGTTATTAGCAGCGTAAGAACAGATGAATACAGTAAAGCAAAAAAAAATTATTGCCTTGTCCCATTTGACTACAACACACCATTTTTAGGATATGTGGTCAAGGCTGGACTTCATACATAGACCAGTATCATCTGTGTGCTGCTAATTTCTAACAAAAGTCATGATACATGAGTTGGGAGATACCATCATTTACTGCTGACTGAGGAAAGATTCTCTCTGGTTTCTTCAGATATTCTTAGAGAAGATATCAAAACAATATTCTGACTTTTTCTACAATTAGTAATTCATTGATATTCCCTGGAGTCACCTCTGACATTTGAACATGTAATCTAGAAACTCCTAAATATGTTTGCTTTTGGGATGAAAATATTTTTATTTCTTGGTTTGGAAAAATAATATGTTTTAAAAGGATAAAAGTAAGTTTAGAGAGTAAGTAATCAGCTATAATTCCACTACTCACAGATAGATTTTCTATGCATGTGTCTGCATATGTATATATTCCATATTTATGTGGTTATATGCACATGTATATATTGTAAAACATTTTATCACTTAATATATGCTAGCTTGTAAGCTGTTTTTTTTTAAAAAAAAAAAAAGAAATATTACCATACAGGTCTTATCCTATCGTGCCTAAGAAATAACTAGGATCAAAAGAGGTTGCATGGCAGCTCACTCAATGGCAGGTCTGGGGTTTAAAATAAGACATCTGATTTTAAGACATGACACACTAAGGAGCTGGTCATTGTTTTTTTTTTTTTTTTTTAAGATGGAGTCTCGCTCTGTCACCAGGCTGGAATGCAATGGTGCGATCTGGGCTCATTGCAACCTTCGCTTCCCGGGTTCATGCGATTCTCCTGCCTCAGCCTCGTTGAGTAGCTGGGACTACAAGTATGTGCCACCACACCCAGCTAATTTTTGTATTTTTCAGTAGAGGCAGAGTTTCACCATGTTGTCCAGGATGGGGAATACTTCTCTCCCCTTGACATACAGCGTGACCATTGCGACTTGCATTGATAAATGGGCCAGTGTGGTACATGACTCAAGTAAAAGTTTGAAATGTGCTTTCACTATTGGGCTTGCTTTCTTAGCATCTCTACAAGAACCACATATTTTGGAAAGCTGCTGCTCCTCTATTCTGGCACCTAAGAAGAAGAATGAAACAAAATTGCCCTACTCTACCCACAGATACACACCTTTAAAGAAAACCATCTTAGCTGACCTGGAGACAAACAACTGTTTCTTTTCACATGCCCCTGAAATGTCAATGTTTTTCATGCAGCAAATTTGAGTGATATGGTAGAAAAAATGAATCTCAGAGTCTACGGATTCTCCAAGGTTTGGAAGCTACTCCTAAATGTCATCATTTTGAGCCCCTAGTCACTGAGTTCTGTGGTATCACCAGCAATGTTTTCTCACCTCTACATTCTATATGAGAGGGATGGAAAGGCCCATCAGCCCCATCAAATAATTTATATTTAAGTAAACAAAGGGCAGGCTGTCTAACAGAATGCCATAAGAAACCATTTTCCAAAAAATTGATAGAATGGAAAATTACTCTCATAAACAAATAAACTATACCAGACAAAGCCATGAAAATCTAAGGACATCAGAGAAAATCTAAGTTTGAACTCTTTGAAGGCTAGCTCACTCATACCTAGGTGTTTCATGAGAGGACGACAAATAAATGATCTAACAGTAATTCTGCAATGTGTTAAGCTGTTTTTGCATTGCTATAAAGAAATATCTGAGGCAGGGTAATTTACAAAATACAAGATTTAATTGGCTAGCAGTTTTGCAAGGCTGTACAGGAAGCAGGGTGCCAGCATCTGCTTCTGGTGATGGCCTCAGAAAGCTGACAAGCATGGTGGAAGGTGAAAGGGAGCAGCATATCACATGGCAAAAGCAGAAACAAAAGAGAGAGGAGGAAGTTGCCACACACTTTTAAGTAATCAGATCTTGTATAAACTCAGAAAGAGAATTCTGTCATCACCAACGGGATGACAATAAGCTATTCATGAGGGGTCTGCTTCCATGATCTAAACATCTCCCAGCAGGCCCCGTGTCCAACAGTGGCCATCACATTTCCACATGAGATTTGAAGAGAAGAGACATCCACACCATATCATTCCACCTCTGGCTCCCCAAATCTCATGATCTTCTCACATTACAAATTACAATCCTTTCCTTTTGGTAGTCCCTGCAAGTCTTAACTTTTTCCAGCATCAAGTCCAGAGTCCTAAGTCTCAGCTGAAACTCATCTCCTTCTGCCTCTGAGCCTGTAAAATCAAAACAAGGTATTTGCTCCCAAGATACAATGGTGTTATAGGCATTGGGTTAATATTACCATTCCAAAAGGGAGAAATTGGCCAAAAAAAAAAGGGGATGATAGGCCCCACACAAGTCTAAAACCTAGCAGGGCAGTGATTAAATCTTAAAGCTCCAAAATGATCTCCTTTGATTCCAGACCCTACATTCAGGGCACACTGGTGTGAGGGCTGGGCTCCCAAGGCCTTGGGCAGCTCCACCCCTTTGGCTTGGGCAGCTCCACCCATTTGGCTTGGATAGTTCCACCCCTTTGGCTTGGGCAGCTCCATCCCCTTGGCTTTGCTGGATGTAGCCCACACAACTACTCTGATGGGCTGGAGTTCAGTGCCTGTGGTTCCTCCTGGCTGACAAAAAAAACTGCTGGTGACTCTACCATTCTTGGGTCTGGAGGGCAGTGGTCCCCTTACCACAGCTCCACTATGCTGTACCATGGTGGGAACTTGGTGTGGGGGCTCTAATCCCACATTTCCCCTTGTCATTGCTTCAGTAGAGTCTCTTTGCAGGGGTTCCACCCCTGTGGCATGCTTTTGCCCAGGCAACCAGGCTTTCCCATATATTTAGTGCTGTTGAAGTAGAAGCCAGTAAGCCTCCTTTACTTTTGCAAGCTGTGCACCCACAGGCTTAAAACTATGTGAAAGCTGCCAGGATTTGTGGTTGTGTCCCCTGAAGCAGCAGCCTGAACTATACTTGGGTCCCTTTGAGCTGAGGCTGAAGCCAGAGCAGCCAAGATGTGGTGAGTAGTGTCCTGAAACTGAGCAGGCAGCAGGGCCCTGGGCCTGGCCCCCAAAACCTCTTTTTCCTCCTATGTCTTTGAGACTGTGATGGGAGGAACTGTCTCAAAGACTTTTGCAATGCCTTTGAGGCCCTTTTATTGTCTCGGATATTAGCACTTGACTCCTTTTTAGTCATAATCTCTGTAGCAAGCTGTTTGGATTGCAGCCTGTTTGGATTATTTCTCTACCACAGGGCCTGGCTGCAAATTTTCCAAACTTTTATGCTCTGTTTTCTTTTAAAACATAAGTTCCAACTTTAAGTCATTTCCCTGCTTCTCTATCTTATTGTTGTTAGAAGCAGCCAGACCACATCTTTAATGCTTTGCTGCTTAAAAATTTCTTCCACCAGATACCCTAGTTTATCACTCTTAAGGTCAAACTTCCACAGATCCCTAAAGCATGAACACAGTGCAGCCAAGTTCCTTGCTAGGGTGTAGCACAGAGGACCTTTACTACAGTTTTTGTTAACTTTCTCATTTCTAACTGAGACCTCTTCAGCCTGACTTTCATTACCCACATCTCTATCGGCATCTCAGTCACAACCATTTAATCAATCATTAAGAAGTTGCAAACTTTCCCTTATCTTCCTGTCTTCTTCTGAGAGTTCTAAATTCTTCCAATCTCTGCCTGTTACCCAGTTCCAAAGCTGCTTGGACATTTTCAGGTATATGTATAGCAATACCCCACTCCTGGTACCAGTTTTCTGTAGTAGCCCATTCCTGTGTTGCTATAAAGAGATACCTAAGGCTGGGTAATTTATAAAGAAAAGAGGTTTAACTGGCTCATGGTTCTGCACACTGTACACCACAGATGTAGTGCTGGCATTTGCTTCTGGTAAGAGCCTCAGAAACCTACAATCATGGCAAGAGGTGAAGAGGACCACCATATCACATGGGAAAGACTGGGAGCAAGGGAAGGGGAAGTCCCACACACTTTTGAACAACCAGATATCATGTGAACTCAGAAGGATGACTCACTTATCACCAAGGGAATGGCACTAAGCTATTCATGAGGGATCTGCCCCCATGCACTAAACACCTCCAATCAGTGCTGACCTCCAACAATGGGAATTGCATTTCAACATGAGGTTTAGAGGGGACAAAGATCCAGACCATATCACAGGGGACTCCCATATTCTAATGTTGAGATCACTGAACTCTTCTAACCAATCTCCTATTTACAAGCTCTAATTATTCTCTGCCAAGACCATTTTAGGACTAACTCTGGACCCGCAAGGCATGTAGGTACCTCTCCCTAACTCCCCTCTTTTGAGATACCTCGAGAATGTCCATGGTCTTTGTTGAAACCTCAATTAATAAACTTAACTTTGTTCCCTAAGTGTGTGATTTTGTGGTATTTGACTGATGGCATCTACAAAGTAAAACAGCAGTTTATCCATGACACTTTTTAATTTTGGATTTTTAAAGCTTGAGCCCAGTGGGACTAACATTTAGATCAATTATTTCCATAGGGTAAGAAAGGCCTCAGGGTTTTTAACCCTTACTCGAGCATTTCCCCACATGCATTCCTGAAAACATTAAGTTATTTAACAGTAAAATATATTTGAGAAATTTAACAAAATATATTCCATTCATAAAAAGTCACAATGAATGTTAGTACAAGCAACTCCCAGAGAAGTCCTGCAGATATTTTTTAATGTAATATTACCTTTACACCAAATTATGTCACCAATAAAGCATGTTTCTAAAGCAATATCGACCAACTTTTCAGTTCCATGAAAATCAACATCTACTAGTTTCTTTGTTGCATGGAATTTTCTGAGATTTGTCACAGTATTGATTCACAGAATAATGTTCACTCTATCCCCACTCACATTCCAGGCATGATCCTCCTTTAGTTTTATACAGGAGATTCTGTACAGGTGAGTAATTGGTCACACTGTCGAACATATTTTGGAGCATTATAATATGTGTGCATTAGCTGTAAGCATATTGTGCTTTATATGTTTCTTTATGGAACATAATTCATACAAGTAGAGTTGGAAAATTCTATCCCCAAAATAACTTTGACACAAATATAAATGACTAAGTATTGTAGAATTAACCAAAACACCCACGGAAAACTAAATTGAAAATGACGGTATGGTATTATATTAATGATAATTTATAATTGAAAACAACAGCAATGAAGACCTCAAGAAGACACTCAAAATTTATTGATAAAACGTCTTTTTACAATTTTGTAAATTCCCAAAGTTCATGTGCATAGTAGAAATCTTCCTAGGCTGTTAAATGTTGCCAAGACTTAAAAGTAAGTTAATTAAATAGGTTCATTGTTAAGTTCTTGTCAAATGCAACTATTAGTAACCATTATTACATTTTACAAACAAACTGGTTTCAGTTCCACTTATAAATGAAAACTCATGGTTTGCAGTAACTTAATTCACAGATACTCTGGCTTTCTTTACCAAAATATGTATATTTATCTCCCTTGATTTGAAAATAAATAAGTAAAAATGAATCATAAAGGCTTTCTAGGGACTTATAATTGCTACAGTGCAAACTAAGCTACAATTAGCTAAAGATCAATTAATGGGTTCAATGTTTCACTAACCTCTGCCAAATAACACAGAGTAATTCATCATTTTACAGTTAGACAATTTTACATAAATATAAAATTAACTTTAACTTAGAGTTGCCAGATAAATGTAAAATTGGGATATTAAATAGTTGTTAAAGGGAAACGAGAAATGAAAATGGAATGGTTGCTTTCTGTAAAGTGGGTTTTGCTGAAACATCATTTTGACAAACAAAGGCCAGTTCAGATCAAACCCCTTTTGACCTCTAATCTTATTAAATTGGGAAGCCAAAGGCCTAGTATCACTGAGAAGTTTCACAAGGCTCCAAAAATGACTTATCACGTGAACCAGGAATTCAAGTGCAGTCCACTTTGTAATGTTTTCATGGCAGGATCTTGCAGGCTTTGAGTGATATTGCCATTTTCTGGAGTTCTCAGCAGTGCAGCTCTTCCACCCAGTTGTAACCGATTTCACTGATCAGTAGCTCAGGCTTAGCTTCACCCTCATAAATTCAGTTATTCATTTGGCAGCTGCAAAGTAGACAGATCTTTAAGAAATCTCAGGTTTTTGAACAAATTAGAAGACTCACTGATTATTTGCTTCTGGATCCTCACATTAATTTGGAGATAGGGGAGGATTTACTGTTTCCAAAGTGTTTACAAAGATTTTTATTTTATTATTTAATTTGTACTATTTTTCTTTTGAAAATAAAAATGGTTTTATTCTTATGGTCTGTTGAATGCCTTGGGTGATATGTTTCTCAGATGTGGGCGTTATTTGGACCATGGAGTTAGACTTACCAAACATGAAAACAGACATAGGGCATTTTCCTAGCAGAAACGTCTACCCCAAATATTGTGGCTGGCAGAGCCAATTGTAATTATAGAGACTTGCTTTGTGATTTTAATTTCTTAAATGATAAATTTAAGTGTGCATATATGTAATTACATTGTCTGAGTTCATTTCATAATTCTTCTACTAATTAGCTGGATAACCTTGTAGACAAATCTGTAACCCTCTCTGTAATTCCTCAGTAACTTGGAATAACTTTCAGTTTAGAAGACTAATGATATTAAGTTCAGAGACATAATCATGATAAAATATATGAAAGAGCTTAAAACAGTGTCAGGCACATAGCAGAAACTTAAAAAGTGTAATCCCTCTTTATGATTATTATCTTCACTTTTGAATAAGCATATGTCTATCACTTGTTAATTACTTTTTAATGTGACTATAAGTTGTTTTCTTTTTTGTTTTTAATATTTTTTCTTAATCATGTAATACCTTAAAACAATTAAAATATTAAAAATAGATAGTGAAAAGTAAGATTTTTTGAATCTTCACAGTGTCTGCAGTTGTCATTTCATCCAGTGATATTTTATGCTATAATCCATTCTTTTAACTTTCTATCTGGAACTTTAAAAGAACATGATGAATACAAAAGAAAGGATATTATCCAAAATAAAATATTACTTACTATTGTATTGTTTCTAATAATGATAATAACATAGTAACATCATTGGTCACTTGTTATGTAGCAGGTATTCTGCTAAGATTACATTTACAAATGCATGATATCATTTTTTGTTGATTACTTGTTATACAGCAGGTATTCTTCTAATACTATATTTATCAATGCCTTATATCATTCAATAATCTCAATAGTCTTATGATATAGGTGCTATTATTAACCTAGTTTTATAGGTAAGTAACTTCCTAAAGATAACTCACAGGGGATTAAACTGTACACTTAAAATGTAAAAGTTTCCAAATAAAATAGAAATCTAAATACATTGGATTTTTCAATTTCAGAGGCATCTTATAGTCTACCTTTGTTTCTTTCCTTTTTTTAAAATGCTACCTACTTTTAGTAGAGGAGATAACTCCATTGTAGACTCCTTGCCCAGTCTCTAGCTCATTCTGCACACTGTCAACAGTTTACAGTTTCCAAATTTCAACTTTACCAAGTATCTTGTTTGCTCAGGAGTTGTCTCTGATTTCCTACTGCTTAGGATATAAAGTACAAACTACCTATGCTGCCTTTTAAGGCTGTTCTAGATCTACCTCCACCTTAACTATTATTCTTATTTCTCCTAATACCTGGTATGACTTAATAAATAAAGGTTACTCAACAAGTTTCTTAATCATATGGCTAAAAAAATTGTTAAAACAATTATTCTTAGACAGTGGACTGAAGGCATTCAACATTTCAGCGTGGGTAATTTGGATAGTGCAAAACATAGTTTCTTGGTGTTTACATTAATTATTTTATTTGCAGCTATTGATGAATTGTTTGAGAATTTGAAAATGTGAACAAGCATTCATTCTGATTAGATGTTTCTTGGGAGCCAGAGCTTTATCATGGATGTCAGAGCCTGCTTTTAGAATTCACAATAACTCCTGTTATTAGAAGACTTTACATAGGGCCTATTTAAGAGTCACATTGGTGATCATTTCTTCTGTTGGAATTTTTGCAAGGAATCTTTTACATTTTGCAGATTGCTCTGTGAGGTGATCATTTTCTTTCCAGTAAGTCAATAGCAGCATGTTTGAAAACACAGACATCCTGTTCATCTCTTTTAATAAGAATGCTTTGAGATCTCCAAAGGCTGGGAATATATTTTATTCATAAATTTATCCCAGATGTCAAGCACATTTTCTGGCACTAATGAGATTTTTTTAAATAAATAAATTCATGTATTGTTTGCCTACAAAGTAGACTTGGATATCAGCCTCTTCTCTGGGCTTGGGAGGATTGCTGTAAATTCCCAGGAACTGGATAATGTTTTGAGGTAAAAGAGAAATTTTACCCCCTTAACAATGTCCAGGGACCTACGGGACTAGATATAATTTCTTCCAAGACATGCTGGTGATATAACATGTGTTGTACATAAGCATCTTTTTCGGATCCCAAATGTTCACTGGTATATCTCAGGAGAATGCTTGGAAGTGGACTGAGTGGAGTTGGCCAATATAAATCATGCTTATTTTGATCTGTGTTATCTGTGAATCATTTTGTTTTTGACTTCCTCATGACTGATCTTAACAGAAAACCTGAGATTGTTAGAGAAATTTTATAGATCTTTAACAGAATATTTTATTTGTTTTCTTGAGAGGAGGCCTGGAAATTCAGAAATGAAGAGGAAAGATGGAATGTTAGGGCAAGTTCAAAGGAGTAGAAATAAATTAGTAGAACAGGACAAAATAACGGAACAAGAGAATCTGTGTACAACCATTGTCTCTGATCTCCTCTCTCTGTTTCCTGTCATATTCAATAGTGCCCTTTTAGTTTTCTTGGTACCTAGGGAGTTCACACATTTTCCTTTATTTGTATGTTAAAGCTTATCATCAGAAAATAGTAAAATTCCTTCATGTCAGAATAATAAAAATCTACTTTCTCTTCAAAGGAATTTTCATGCTTATAGGGGAGAAACTGAGGATGGATAAAGGAATAAATTGTTCCATACAGCATTTGTAACAATCTTGAACTGGGTGGGAGAAGTATTAGAGGCTGCATGAAAACTGACATGACCCAGGAACTTCTGAAATAGAAGACCATAGACAATCCCCTAGTGGTAATGTCCCCTTTACTTTGGAAGCAAACAGTTACCTTCCAGAAATTCACTTGACTCCTAAAAATGGTCCATTAAATTTTCCCTAATCTGTACTGTGAAGATTATCCAAAATAATTGCCTCCTCTGAATTCAAATACAATCATAACATAGCAATAATTTAATAAGTTTAGTAGTATAAAGTTAAAAAATATTTCTTGATGAGCTCAATTATTTCACTCTGGTGCTCATCTTCCTCTATGTCCAGTGGTACTTTGTTCATATCACACTGTGCAAAACACCTTATGCTTAGATCATTGTCATTTCTTTGTTGACTAATCCATTTAAGTTTTTTTTTTTTTTTTGAAGACAGGAGTCATGTTATTTTCACCTCAGGGATGACATGACTGGCACATAGGAGTTGCTCAATAAATGCTTGAACAAGTGAATAAACGAGCCTCTCCTACTCTCCTATGTGCAGGGAACTATTATCAGAGAAAAAGTTGATAAAGATAACTAACACTCCTTTAGCAAATTTATAACTGCTTTGGGCAGGCATGACAGGTCAAGAGATATATTTACAAAGCAATTTATTATTATCTCCTACTAGAGACAAAAAATTCTCTCTGTTGGGCTATTTATTCCTCTGCTCCACTAAATTCTGGTCACTTAAAAATAAGACAAGATTCTCCAGTTGGTAAATAAAATGTTCATGCCTGTGTTACAGTCAAAACTCTAAACTTTTTCTATTATTATTATATAGAGGTTTCTCCTCAGGCCTGCTACAGTGGAGTGGGTGTGGAGATGCAAGAACTAGAGCTGCTGGGTGGCAAGGAATCAGCCTCTTGGAGGCCTGTGGTTACACCTGAGGAGTGCCTCACTAAAGGCTTTCACATTTTGGAAAATATAATAAGGTCTTAGAAGCTTAATTCCAATTCAGTGTATTTATAAAATATCTTATTTTTTGAGGCTAAGGAAAGAGTTCATTGGCTATAAATTATGAATCACGAGAAAAGTCTAGCCTTGAGGAAATCTGGGGAAGATAATTCTAGACAGAAGGAGCAGCAAGGGCAAAGACTGGGGGAGCAGTAATGAGTTGGGAATGTTTGAAGGAAAGAATAAAAGTCAGGATGGCTGGAGCCCAGTGACTGATGAGGGATGGTATGGGATGGGAGCCAGAGTCTAGAATGGAGCAGATCATCTAGAGTCTGCGGTAAAGTTAGTTCCTTCTTTCCTTCCTTCCTCCCTCCCTTCCTTCCTTCCTCCCTCCCTCCCTCCCTCCATCCTCTTTCTTTCTTTCTTTTTCTTTCCTTCCTTCCTTCCTTTCTTTTTCTTTCTTTCTTTTCTTTTTCTTTCTTTCTTTCTTCCTTTCTTTCTTCTTTCTCTTTTTCTTTCCACATTATTACTGTAATATTAACATACAAAAAGCTGTAAACATTTAATATATGCAATTTTATGTGTTTGGAGATAAATATATACCCATGAAACCATTATAATTGTTAATTCAATCAACTTATCTGTCACTTCCTAAAGCTTTCTCCTGGCACTGCTGTTTTTTGTTTGTTTTGGTTTTCTGTTTTATGTTCAGAGTACTTATGATAAGATCTATCCTCTTAGCAAATGTTTAAGTATGTATTATTTTTAATAATAGGTCTTATATTAAACAATACATCTCCAGATCTTTCTCTTTCTTTTTCCTCCTCTCCTTTTTTTCTTTCTTCCTTCTTTTCTTCTTCCTTTCCTCCTTCTTTTTTTCTTTCTAAAATTTAATTTGCAAAATGAAGTCCTTAGAGAGAGTAAGGAGGTTAAAGAGGTGATCTGATATTCATTTTTAAAAAGATACATCTGGCTGTCGTATGAATAATTTGGTTGGTATAGAGTGCAAGAGAGAAGGGAAGCAGGAAAACAATTGGAGGATGCTTCAGTAGTTAGTAAGGAATCAAGTGGAGCAAGTATGGCAATTCATTTTATAGTTCAATAGTAAGATGCATAATGAATTTCCAGGTCTTGGTCTTCAAATACCACTCTCTATTAAATGGAACTGGGTCTCCTTGGAGAAATGATTGATTTCAGGACTGGGACAGAGAAAGTATAAGGTATAACCTGGAAAACTGTGTGGTAGAAATTAAGAACATACTCAAAAATTGATGGTGACGTATCAGAAAGGTATAGAGAAGCCAGCTTGAAATGGCTCACATTGGCCAAATCTAGTACTACTTGAGCATCAAAATAAATGATGCCTGTATCACAATACAACACATTGAATAAAATAGTAAGACACAAATTCATTGTGTATGTAATAAAAAAGTATACAAATTTTGGAGAAAGGAAATCTCTTTAAAGTAAAATGCCAACCAATAAGCAACATCTGCTTTGAGAGGGTTAGTATGCATTCATTCATTCATTCACTAATGGCAAACTTGTGAGATATCAGTGGATAATTTGATGGAACAGAGCTCTCTTTGCTATAAAACTTTAGTAGGAAAACTGTAATAATAAACTTTTAATATTTTTTCTCTTTCCCTTCCTTTTGACAGAGTAAGGAAGACTGACAGTGAGAGAACAAGACTAATTCTGTGAGAAGTAACTTTCCCATGTAAAAAGTTTTGAATCATTATAGTCTTTTAATAAATTGCAATAAATCACAATAATTTCCAGTTGTATTAAAAGTTTTTTGATCATCTATTTGAATCAGCCAAATAGTAATGTTTCTCTTGCAAATGAGTGAATTATCAGTATAAAATTGTTTCTAACTGAACAGGGATTAGGCTTTCAAACTTGAGTTTATTGACAAAAATTGATAAAGATAATCTAATTTTGCCTAATATACTTTTATGTGTTTAGTGACCATAACAAATAAATTGTTATATCAGGCCTGAGGTTGATGAGGCAGATATTTTATAATAAGTTATTATTATTATGGTTATTTTGTATTATAAAATCATTTTATTACATCTTGGAATAAATATAAAATTAATTTTCTTAGCAATTTCCCAAAAAAACAATTTTGCTATACTAATATAAGAGTAATATGAGTTCCTTATGAGTCATTAACCACAATTGTTCTAGTAATTATATTATAAATGTTTATTTTCAAAGACATTTTCATTTAACAAAGAATAGCATGTATGTTTTACCCAAGCAAAGAAAGGTTGTAATAATGATAAATTGATAGTCAAAACAAATCTTTCAGATTTAAGGTTTCCCTTTCAATGAATATATTAGGAGTATTAGGAATAATCATTTACTGTAAGCTCATTAGTAAAGCAGGTCATTCACAATTGCATTTAAATTTTAATTGCGTTCTGCAGGATTCCAGAAATTAAGTAGTTCACTAAACCATAGTACACCTTTCCTCTCTTCAGCCACTAACTTTTCTATTCTTTGCTAATATATCTTTGTGATTCTTTTGCACTGGGGAAAAATTATTTGCAAAATTATCCCAAAGTGTTTAGAGTCCCATTAATACCACTTAGTTATTTTTTACATGTACAACCAGTCATTCTAATATCATGATCTGAGAGAAGTATTTCAGGAGGTCTGTAAATTTGGTACATATATATAGGAAGTGTATTTTTTTTTCTTATTTGCTTTCACTATTTCTGTGCTGTTAGAGAAATAAAAAAGTTGATGCATCCAAATGTGTGGGCAATGATTTATTATAATGACTTACTTATGAATAAGCTAGCTCAGGTATCTAGCTGCCTGTTATTGCATTAAAATATATTTCTATCTCAAGGGCAAATCTTTATTGCAAATAAGATTTAATATTTTATAGAAAACAAAAATAGTGCTAGAGTAGCAGTTTTAAAATATTTTATACTATATTACTTATGTGAGAAAATTGTTAAAATGCAGATTTAATGGAAAAGACTTCAATATATCTAGTACCTTCATTTTGTGTGTGTATATAAAGTAAATGAGTTTGATTAAATGTTCTCTTGGCCTCTTTAAACTTAATATTCTATGGATATTGTAATTTCCAATTTATATATATATATTTCTTATTAAATTTTTAATCAGTTTGCTTAAGCCTGGAAGTAATTATTTATTTGACATTACAATTTGATAAAGTCAATTTAATATAGCAAACTTGGTGGCAAACCTATCATGTACAACAAATAAATATCCTGATCAATGAGGTTTATAAGACTTATTTTTTACTTTTATTCTTTTCACAAAAAAGATTTATAATCATATACAGTTCAAAATTTACTTATTCTTTAGAGAAGTTCATGGAAAGGACTCTGATGGGTGCTCTTGAATGCAGATTTCTGATGACTTTGGAGATTGTGTCATTGGACTAGGGAAAGAAAAGAAATATAAACCTTCCAAAACTCTAATTAAAAAATGGTGGAATGAATTAATTGAATGGAACTGAACTACCAGAAGACTAAAATACTTTTAAGTAACTTTTTTATTTGAAGTGTTGCATTTTGTCTTGATTTTCAGAGTCAAAAAAACTTTTTTTTCCTTTTGAACTTGTGTTTACAGCTTTTAACACTTAAGTAAAGTATAATCTTCTGAGAAAAACTGAAAGCACATTTCTTCCTCTTTACCTATTTCCTCCAGAATTTGGAAAGTATATGTATTTCTAATTTATGGCAATATAGTTATTTGCATAAGTTTATTAAGAATCTGTTTTCTGTTGTAACAGGGCATAATTAGAGACACTAGTTATTTTATGAAGCCTTTGACTGGAATGGCATATTTTCAGAAATGAGCAGATTGTTTTGAGGAATTGATGCAGACTTACAGAACCAATAAAAGTCTTTTGGAAAAATCAGCCTTTTTACTTATCTATTTAGTTACTTTACAGGGTTTCTAACCTGTGGTAAGCAAAGAATGTAACTTTTTGACAGGCCCAGAAACCTCAAGTAATTCTGAACCCCAAGAAGAGAGGAATTCACCCAACTTATACAGGTATCTGCAGACACAGATAAACCCTTGGCTGGGCTCAAGAGGCTTATAAAAGTTCTAATCTGAGATTTCTTATATATTACAAAAAATAAAGTTCCAATAAAGCCAATTTAAAATAGCCTTTATGGCAAATAATTATTCTTGCTGCACTTTATGCAAATAATCAGACCAAATATAGTAAAACAGGGACTTATTCTGCAAATTAATTGGCCCTATTTTGATTTGCATCTGGTAGAAAGGTATGACTGAAGAGAGAAAAAGGAAATTATAATATACTCATTATTAGATTATTGTCTTGTCCATTATTAATGAGTTTTTGTTATTTTCTAAAATTTGGACTGAATCCTGAATTGTCTTCTGGCTCTAAGCCTCCAAACTAACATTTTAAAATTTTTCTTACGTTTTCTGACTTGGAATAAATGAAATTGCTACTACCTTTTTCCTGAGACCCTGCAAGCTGAAGCTCATACTTGTGACACAGGCAAGAGAAACTTGTCAACTTGCCACCACCTTCTTCCTATTTAACCAGAGAAATTTTGAGTCTGAAATCTAGACACTTCAACTGACTGACTTCCAGACTTGAAGGAAAAGGAAACTAGTTTATGGATTGTTTCCAACAATAACCTACATTTTTCTTCTGTTTGAAAGACAGTGTGTGATACTATCTTCTAAAATGAGACACAATTGCTTAATGGAAATGGTTCATCCCAAAACTGGTTAAATGGAATCCATTGTCACTCTGCTTTTAACTCATATTTATTTCTCTTTCACAGCCACCAACTCAGCTTTCATTGTGTAAAAGATCTAGGAAAGCTTAAGACAGGGAAATGGCGGGGGCTCAGAAACCAATAACCTAAAATGTGGCATTTTGATATACTGAACTGAGGAAACCTCAGGGCCTCTCTAACCTTCTCTTAATCTAGACCCCTCCTTCATGTCTCTTCCAAAAAAACCTGAAGTTTCTTTATCTGCCTGAGATTCAGACCCACCAAGGAGAACAATTGCTCTTTCTTCCCTCCTTATTGTCTCATTATCTATTGCAGAAAAGAAGGCCAAGTTGTGATCACACCTGAGCAGACCTTTTATGATAATGACTGTCTCCAAAGATTATTTAAGTCACAAATAAAATTATTTACAAATCAATCTCTGTTCCCTATCCAATCATTCTCCCTAGCAATCATTTATTGCCCCTCAGTAGAATTCCTCTTTGCCTCTGTTCCATAACCTGTTTTACCAGAATTCAAGCCCCCATTCTTTTTGTAACTTCACAATGGTATACAAGTTTCTGTATCTCATTGGGAAGTTGGGTCTTTATTCTCAAGGCTGCCATGTATACAAGTAAATAAATTTGTTTGCCTTTTGTCCTATTAATCAATCTGCATCATGCCAGTGATTTTTTAGCATCGGCCTATAGCCATGGCTCCCACAAAAGCAAGCATTTACACAAAAGAATAATAAGGTGGTGATGAGGTAGGAAGCGGCCCCGTCTCCTACAACTCTTTGCTTGACACCCATGGGATCACCAGTTGTGAATATGCAGCTACTACTTATCAACTAGTCTCATAGAATGTCTCTCCTAATGCATTGTATGGCTTGGAGTTACAGAAAATATCAAAAGAAGCTTCAGAGGTCAGCAATTGCTGACCTTGCTACAGTAGTAAGAAAATTGAAGAGATGTTTCAATAAGAACCTTGTTAATAGGCTAGGTTCTACAGCACAGCATTTTGTAGTCAATAATGTTTCTCTGGGAAATTAATTAATTTTCCAGCACTTCTGATATTAGATGTTCTTAAAATGCTTAGGAGAAATTTGAAAGAGCATGTTAAAATGAAATGTGTTTTTCCTTAAATATATTTCATCCTCACTACCAAAAGCCTAAATTCAGTCTTTAGCACTGTATCCTTGGAGGTGACTTGTATAGAAAAAAGAAATTTGCAAAGCTCTATTTCTCTAAAAAACAAATTGAAATGTATAAAACTTATGCCACTTACATGCACTTCAGACAATGTATATATTTTCTTGACACTCAAGCAGATTTATAAGAAATCTACTTCTCCTTTATTCACATAGAGAAGCCAATGAAGGGCAGACTTTTATTTTCTTTTTTAATGTTGCCCAGTGTTATAGTCCATTCTCATACTGCTATGAAGAAATATCTGAACCTGGATAATTTAAAAAGAAAAGAAGTTTAATTGATTCAGAGTTCTGCATGACTGGGGGGGCCTCAGAAGGCACCTCCTCACATGGTGGCAGAACAGAGAATGACTGCAAGAAAGGAAAATGCCAGACATTTATTAAACTATCAGCTCTTGTGAGACTCACTATAATGAGAACAGCATGGGGGAAACCTTCCCCATGATTCAATCACTTCACATCAGGTCCCTTCCACAACATGTAGGGATTATGAGAACTACAATTCAAGATCAGATTTGGGTGAGATCACAGCCAAACCATCATTCTGCCCCGAGCCTCCAAAATCTCATGACCTTACATTTCAAAACACAATTATGCCTTCCCAACAGTCCCCCAAAGTCTTAACTCATTCCAACATTAACTCAAAAGTCCAAGTCCAAAGTCTTAATCTGAGACAACACAAGTTCCTTCTGCCTATGAGCCACTAAAATCAAGCACAAGTTAGTTTCTTCCAAGATACAATAGTGGTACAGGCATTGGGTATATATGTCTGTTCCAAGGGGGAGAAATTGGCCAACACAAGGGGGCTATAGGCCCCATGCAAGTCTGAAATCCAACAGGGCAGTCATTAAGCCTTAAAGTTTCACAATGAACCCTTTGCCTTTATGTCCCATATCCAGGTCATGCTGATGAAAGAGGTGGGCTGTCACAGCCTTGGGCAGATCCACCCCTGTGGCTTTGCACGGTCCAGCCCCTCTCCTGGCTGCTTTCATAGGCTGGCATTGAGTGTCTGCGGCTTTTCCAGGTGCATGGTACAAGCTGTTGGTGGGTCAACCATTCTGGGTTCTGGAGGACAGTGGCCCTCTTCTCACAGTTCCACTAAGCAGTGGCCCAGTGGGGACGCTGGATGGAGGCTCTGACTCCACATTTCCCTTATGTGCTGCCCTGGCAGAGGTTTTTCATGAGGGCTCCACCCCTGCAGCCAACTTCTGCTTGGACATCCAGACATTTCTTTATGTGCTCTGAAACCAAGATGGAGGTTCCCAAACCTCAAATATTGACTTCTGTGGACCCAGAGGCCCAACGCCAGGTGTAAGCCACCAAGGCTTGGGGCTTGCTCCCTCTGAAGCAACAGCCAAGCCATATGTTGGCCCATTTTAGCCACAGCTGGGAATGAAGCAGCTGGTATGCAGGGCACCAAGTCATGGGGCTGCACCATAGCAGGACGTCCCTCAGGACTTTCTAGGTCTCTGAATCTGTGATAGGAAGGGCTGTCATGAAGGTCTCTGACATGCCCTGGAGACATTTTCCCCATTGTCTTGGTGATTAACATTCAGCTCCTTGTTACTTATGCAAATTTCTGCAGCATGCTTGAGGTTCTCCCCAGAATATAGGTTTTTCTTTTCTATCGCACTGTCAGGCTGCAAATTTCCCAAACTTTTATGCTCTGCTTCTTGAATGCTTTGCTGCTTAGAAACTTATTCTGCCATATATCCTAAATCATCTCTCTCAAGTTGAAAGTTCCACAGATCTCTAGGGCAGGGGCAAAATGCCACTCTCTTTGCTAAAGCATAGCAAGGGTCACCTTTGTTCCAGTTCTCAAGTACTTTCTCATCTAAATCTGTATTAGTCAGGGTTCTCTAGAGGGATGGCACTATAAAACAAATGGAATATATATATATAATATATATATCATATATATTATATATAAATGGAATATATATATATTCCATTTATATATATAATATATTCCATTTTTAGATATAGGAGTTCATTAAATATTAAATATTAACTCACACCATCACAATGTCCCACAATAGGCCATCTGTAGGCTGAGGAGCAAGTAGAGCCAGTCTGAAAAGGAAGGGACCTCCGATCAAAAAGCTCACAAAAGAAGAAACAGATAATCTTGACAGGATTATAACTATTAAAAAAAACTTTAATTAGTAATTCATAATCTTATAAAACAGAAGCATCAGGTTAGTGTGATATCAATGGTAACTTTCACCAAACAGTTAAAGAAAAAATTATACCAATTTTTCATTATCTCTTCAGTAAAATAGGAGCTGAGAGAATTCTCCCTAATTTATCTTATGAGGCCAGTATTGCCCTAATACCAAAACCAGAAAAAGGCGTGAAAAGAAAGGAAAACTACAAACCAATATCTTTTACAGATGCAAAAATATTCAACAAAATATTAGTAAATCAAATCTAATAATATATGAAAATAATCACACATCATGATCAAGTGAGATTGACTTCAGGTATGTGAGACTTGCTCAGCATTCAAAAAATCAATCATTGCAATTCACCACATCAACGAGCTAAAGGAAAATTGTATGATCATACCAATTGATTCAGAAAAATAATTTGACAAATCCAACATTCATTCATTATAAAGCCTGTCCTCAAACTAGAAATAGGGAGTAACTTCCTCAACATGACTAAGAGCATCTACAAAACCTATAGCTAACATTATACTTAATTGCGAGAAACTAGATGCTTTTCCATTAAGATTGAGAGCAAAATGGGAATGTCTTCTGTCACTATTTCATTTCAGCATCATACTGGATATTTTAACTAGTGAAATAAGATAAAAATTAAAAGTATTTATATTGGGAAGGAAGAAGTAAAACTGTGTGTATGGATGGCATTAGTGTCTATCTAGATAATCCTAAGGAATCTGAAAAATAAGAAGAAAGAAAAAGAGACAACCTCCTAGAAATAATACATGAGATTAACATGGTCACAGAGGCCAAGATAAACATACACAAATCAATTTGTTTCTGTATTTTAGCAATAAACTGTAAATGCTGAAATTAAAAATGCAATGCCATATATAATCACTGAAAAAAATAAAACCTGAAGTGTACATTTAACCATATATGTACATGACTTGTATGCAGAAAATTTCTTCAAAATGCTAATGAAAGAAATCAAAGAAGATCTAAATAAATAGATAGTTGTATGGCGTACAAAGTTTGGAAGATTCGATACAGTGAAGATCTTAATTTTTTCCAAGTTGATACACAGGTTTAGCATAATTCCTTTCAAAATCCCTGCAAGGTTTTGGTATACATAGATCAAGAATATCTTAAAATGTATTTGGAAAGGTAAAGGAACTAGGATAGGTTAAATGATTTTGAAGTGAAGAATAAAGTGGGAAGCATGAGTCTACTTGATTTCAACACTTTATAGCTACAGTAATTAACCCTGTGTGGTACTGGCACTGGGATAGACACATAAATCAATTGAACAGAATAGAAACCCCTCAAGTAGACCCCCTAAGGATGGCCAACTGATTTATTTTTGAAAAAGTAAAGGAGCTAAATGAATAATTAGATATCCCTAGGCAAAAAAAGCCTCACTTGAAGTCTTGCATCTCATACAAAAATTATGTCCAAAAAATCACAGAATTAAATATGAAACATAAAACTATAAAACTTGTATTAAAAATAGGAGAAAATCTTCAGGATCAATAGTTACTCAAAGCATTCCTAGACATGACACAAAAAGCATGATCCTTCAAAGAAGATAGTGATATACTGGACTTAATTAAAATGCTTTAATGTTGCTTTGTGAAATACTCTGATAAAGATTTGTACACTAAGAGAAAAAGTCATCATATTTTCTTCCAGAGAGGCTAAGGACAGAATTGAAACCATCTTGAAATACCCTCATCCTTCCCCTTGTACAATTTGGAGCTATTTCCCAGATCCAGTATTGAGTTTTGGGGCAAATCTGACCCTGATTAATGAGAAGGGCATGGTTTTGAATAAAGGAGCATTAGTCCAGAGGCCAGTTCACCCTGCTTCAATCATCTCTAGAGGTTTTTATGCTTTTCTTTTTATGTGCTGTGCTTTTCTGGTGGTGGAAGTAGCTGTCAATCCAAGTAACTCCCTTTCCTCTTAACCAGGCCTCAACTTTGTACTGGCAGCATTTTTAGTTATGGAACAATAATGAGGTGGTTCTTTCTTTCTCTCTGGCCCTTCTTCTGTCTGTCTCATATGATATACTTTTTGTTTCCTATCTCAACAAATATGAGTTCGTTTTAATCATCAGAGTAGTTACCTATGATTGATGACTGACTATGACTGTGATAAAGGCATCTCATCCGGTATTATTTTTTATACCTCACAACAATAGGGTGGGGAATATATTACTCCCATAACCCCTCAATTTTACAGGCGCAAACACTATGGCTGAGTTTCAGTAGTTTGCCTAAGTAACTCCTGCTATAGACCTAAGACACTACTACTGTGGGACTCTCCAAAAACTGTCCTGAGTCTCAGGTGAGTCAGAAAGGATCTAAGTGGGGCTTCCGAGGACACTCCTCTTTTCTTTGCTTCCAAGGGAGACATTATCCAGAGCAGGGGCAGGACTTCAGCTCATCACAATGCCATACACATACATGTGGCTGTTTGAAATAATCCTGAGAGTAGTTTGAGATGGCTCTTCCAGAAGAGTGACAAACTGTAGACGTCAGTCTCAGGCCTCTTAATAAACTGAGAATCTAAACCTAAGGTCCGTTACAGAAGACACTCGACATGCAGACTCTTTTTTCTTCTACATTTCATATCCATAATCTCATAATTCCATTTATTATGTCATTAACATATTATAGATGATAAAAATAGTACACACATATATAAGATAGAGAGAGGGAGAGATCAGTCTGGAAATGTTGACCTGAGTGAACCTTGTCATGGGAGAAATAGGGATAGAAAACAACCCAGGCAGAGCACAGTGACATGACAGATCATGATGCTTTGCAAGAACTGAAAATAGATTGATTTGTTGAGGGGGAAAAAAGCCAGAAGAGAGTGGCAAAACATGTCTGAGAGTGAGGCTAGGCCAGCCCACAGAGGCACTTGTGCTATAGGATGAGTATTGTAAATATGAGAAACATCAAAAGGTTTAAGCAATTGTGTATTTTAGAAAGATTATTCTGGAAGTTGTGTGTAAATTAGATAGAAGTGTGAAGGGAGTAGGTGCTAAAGCAGAAAAAAAGAGAGAAAAAAGTAAAGAGCGAGATAGAGAAAGGAGGAGGTGGAGGCATACCAGTTATTGCCGTCATTCAAGAAAGAGATGCGCCGGGTGCGGTGGCTCAGCCTGTAATCCCAGCACTTTGGGAGGCCGAGGCGGGCAGATCATGATGTCAGGAGAGCGAGATCATCCTGGCTAACACGGTGAAACCCCGTCTCTACTAAAAATACAAAAAAATTAGCCGGGCGTGGTGGTGGGTGCCTGTAGTCCCAGCTACTTGGGAGGCTGAGGCAGGAGAATGGCATGAACCCGGAAGGCAGAGCTTGCAGTGAGCCGAGATCGCGCCACTGCACTCCAGTCTGGGCGACAGAGCCAGACTCCGCCTCAAAAAAAAAAAAAAAAAAGAAATAAAGAAAGAAACTAAGGCAGCTGTATTGAGATGGATAAGAGGAAATGAATTCAGAGATCCTAAGAAATGAATTCAGAGATCCTAAGAAAAAAGAACTGACAAGTCTTGTACAAATCAATGGAGAATTACATTTAAAACATGGCCTTTTCCACTTATGCTCTAAAAAAAGCGGGGATTTTTGTTTTGTTTTTTAAACAAGAAAAACTATAGTTTTCTCCTTAGAGTAAAATTTACTTTCCCCTCAAAGTAAAAAAACAGTTTACCTTTAAATGGATATTAGTCTAATGTGTCATTTTGAAATACACCTTATATCCAGGACATCTTTAGTTTTGAGGAATATTCACAGCTCCTAAGCAATATTTTCTGGGCTGTACTACTTAATATTCCTTAGATGTCCTCTTACTATTAAAAAATTTAGATTAGGAAATGAACTTGTCAGAGTTGATTTTTATAGTTTGGACATATTAAAATGTTGTATTAAATTTAGGTTTGACGTGTTTTCCAATAAAGAAAAAAGATTCTAGTTTTTAAAGGTACCTTCTCTGGTTAACAAGGGAGCCCCAAAGTGCCAAGTATCTAATCATCTCCGTAGTGTTGAGTGATGGGAGGCCACTTAGGTATCAGGGTATCTTTTTTAGACAAAAAATAAACCATTTGTTTTTTGGAAATGCTTTTCTTTTTGTTAAGTACAGAAATCACTTATTCCATTAAACTAACACTTTTTTTGTCATATCAGTAATGGCAGCAAGAGAGAGAAAGTTTAATTTTTGCACAAGCAATTTCATGCAGTTGTCATTAATATCTAGGGAGTAAATGTTGAGTTTAATGCTGTCCTGGTTTCTAAATAAAATGAAGTCAGATTGCACCCTTGGAGAATGAAAATCAGTGCCTTGTTTAACACTGTGAGGATGACAAAAGAAAGGAATTGTCTCATTCCCCTTGAAACATTCCAGCAAGGGTTATTTGCTATTCAAAATGTGCAAAGAAATGTGAGTCTCTTGTAATAACAAGAGAAACATGAAGATAAAAACTTAAGTTTTATCCTTTTTTTTTCCTTTTACCATTGAAAATAATTATAATGTTTGTCATTGCATTTGGACAATATGTGCCAACTCTTTCTGATACAATTCAGTACAGAAGAGGCAGAAACTTTTCCTTCAGCTGGCATTTACAGGATTAAAACAAACAACAACAACAAAAACACAAAAAACAAAAAACAGAAAACAGAGCATTTTTTTTTTCTTTTTCTTTTTTTTTTTTTTTAACCTTCCTTGAGCATGATCTCTTTCTTGCCTTGGAGTTATTTTCCTAACTCCATAGTTGCTATGTGTAATGATTTGGCAACATGCCATGATCTCTTCAGGCTTCACTTTTGTTATCTCTACAGGATGGTTCCAGTTCTAGTCACAAAAATCTTTTTTATGCTTTGGAAGAAAATAGACAAATTCAGAGATTCATACAATCTAAGAGTTGCAAAAGCCTCTAAGATATAGTCCATTTAGGTTACAGAAATGTACGTCCCTCCCTATTCTTTTACAAAAAACATAAAAATAGAGCCTATGTGATTTTTGAACAAATAAATGTCCTCGAGGAGATTCATAAGTACCCATTTTTTTCCTACTTGCACGAATGCAGTCTATCTTCTGGAAATGGGTACCTGCCATACAGTGGATACTATTTAAGATCAACAGATAAAAATAAAAGTCTGATTATCATCAAAAGAAAAAATTGTTAAGGAAGATTATTCTAACCACCAGAGTCTTTCAAGGATTAAATAAGCTGAAAGTTTTCAAGTGGCTGGAAATATTAAAAAAGAAATTACATAGAAGGCATCCTGGCCCTGGGGAGGTAACTGACTCTAAGGTTCAAATCTCCAGCCCCTTTCCTAATGACACTGTACTATGGCCATTACTAAAGTCATAATAGCAGTTTTAATGTAGCTTATGTAAATTAAATTTTAAGTGAAATTCTAAAACTTTTAGTACACACTTTAAGTATCTGTGAAAATACAAATTTCAAAGGCAACCAATATGTCCATGGCTTGATATATGAAAAGGTGGTGTATAATTGAATTATTCATTAGATTACCAGGTAGAACATGATAAACAGCTTTATTAAGGGAAGGGAGTCAATACCAACAGCAAGGATCAGGATACCTCTTTTCTGATTTTTTGTATTAAGGCCATTAGAACATATTTTTTAATATTCAGGGGAGTAATCTTTTGTGAATCACCTCCAGTATTATAGCTGTGATTTGGCTGCACGCCCCCCACTAACAGAGGAGTTATTGCATCCTCCCTAATCTGACCTTACTATGGCCTATTTTATTTGAGTCTTAAATGAGTGTGAAATGACATTCCCAAGAAAATGAATCCAGCATTACTAGATGTTGGCTATATTCATTATTATGGCTTTTGCAGTACACATTTTTGTCTCACAGTCAAAATGAAATGTGAATCACTGCTTTATGAAACAGATCATGTCTGTTTGTTAGAGTCACAAACATCTTGAATGACACTAAAGTGAATTTCTGTGCCTGGGAATGTAGATCAATGAGTTCGTTAAGGGTCTTAGAGTTTTAATTAATTTTAATTATCTGTTATTTATATTCCGGAGGGTCTTAAAGTAACTGGAATGGGCTGAACATTGTGTTAGTTAGTTGTAGAAACAGAACTCTTCTGAAATAAATAAGGATATGCTCTGATAGTAGACATGTTGTATATTCAACAATAAGGTCTATTAGGGAATGAGTATATGTATAGGGGAAAATATGGCAATGATTAAGCAACAGATGTAAGTGCAGGAAGTTCCTCTAAAAACATCTAAATATTAGTTAAGTACATTTCTTAGATTGGTGACATTGGCCAATTTATTTAATCTCTTAATTTATAAAATGAAGATGATAATTGTACTTTTTCCCACAGTAGCTGTGGAGAGAAAATGTGAAAATATGTGCAGGTTACATACCAAGTTTCCAGGAATATAGTAAGAGCTTGATAAATATTAATCTTTGTTGTTATTCTTGTTGCTAAAAATCACACAGGACAGGGAGTGTGTGAAGCTGTGTGTTGTGGTGGTAGGAATAGTATAGAATGTGAATCAGCAGACCTGGATTCTAAACATTTTTCTGCACCTAAAAAATACTGAATAACAAACAGCTAACAAATCACTTATTTAAAGTGAAAGTAAGATGTTGTTGTTGTTTTTTCCCACCTACATAATTTTGTTTCCTTGCATTCCTGTTTCTTTTTCCTCATTGTTCTTGTTGTCTGTATTATAGAGAGGTAGTTTACATAGTCTCTTTCTTTTTCCCAAGCATCTTTTTGTAATAGTTGTAAAAATCTATGATTCTATAATCATATTGTTTATAAAATCAACTTGTAAATGCCTTACTGACTTTAAATATTGATAACTATACATTAGAATATTATGAAGTGAGGAGGATATAAGAGTATAAGTCAATCGGGTATTTACAATAGCAGTTCTCAACTGGGGTCCATTTTTACCCAACAAGAGACATTTGGTAATATCTGGAGACGTTTTTTATTGTCAAGATTGGTGATGGGGTAAGACACTATTTAGAAGCCAAGGATGCTACTCAACATTCTACAATGCACAGGACAGTCTTCTACAGCAATAAATTATCTGGTACCACCCGTCAATAGTGTCAGTGTGTGAAACTGGTTTAGAGCATTATTTAACAAAAGCAATTCCATAGACTTTCACTGAAAGCCAACTGTGTTCCAGGAACTGGATAAACAGAATTGATAACACAGTTTTTGCCTTCAAGGAGCTCAGTGTTTCTGATGTGTTAAGTCCTCTTCCATCATTTTTCTGTAATAATACCCTTGCCTTTAAAAGTGAACAAGGATTGGTCATAACTCCTACCAGAACATGTATGAAGAGATGAAGGTCATAATATTTGGGCTTCTGTCTACTGAACAATAAGATCTTAACTGAATAGGTTTAAATAGTAATAGTCTTATAATTCATCCCCACTTTTGGTCCAAATAATTTGGAAGAAAATAAATTTAAAAAAGTTAATAAATTACCATGTGAGGAAAGTAATACATATTTATGACGTAAGTTCATAAAATAATAATGTCATTTCTACAACTCTGCTGGAAAAGGACTATTTAATGAGGAGATACCAGAGCATAGTTTACAGATTCTATTTTAAATAGAAGAGACAGGAATGAAGAAGTGAATGTCTGCTCATCTCTATAAAAGATAGTCAACTTTCCTGAACAAAACTGAATGCTAAAGAACTGCAGATACTGAAAAATCAAGCCTCTGATTTATTTTTCACTTAAATAAACTACCAGTGGGAAAGATTTCTGTTTTTTTTTTATATCTGACAATACAATAAAATTTTATGTGAGGACTACAGATATAGTCTTTATTCCAAGTAGAAATAAATTTTTACAAAAACTGTTTTGGTAAAACTGTCAGTGTGAGTGTCATGGAAGAGAAAAGGGCATGGGGGTAAATTAAAATTAAACTTGTAATAGCTGTCTCACAAGTTGCCAAAGGGGCAATTGTGATTCACGCTCCCAAAGTGGAAGGTGGCAGTGTATAGGAAGAGTGAGACTCCTTATAAAATACTAATTAGGATTGCAGAAATAAGTACATCAGATGCTAGGTTAGAAGCCTGATGTTCTATTATGAAGAAATACTCTTTTAAAGTAGAGACTGCAAAGAATGGTGTACTGAAGATTCAAAAGAAAATGTAATGGGAAACCTTGATCTCTTTCATTTAAATTGCCAATATTCATGGCATTTATGTGAAGAAATACCTTGGAAAATGCTTAAAGCTTGCAAAAATGCAAATTTCTATCTATACAATTCTGTTTTCTAATCTTTTGGCCATATTGAAGCACAGGGGCCAGATAGATGGTGCCATTTTATACAAACAGATAACAGAGGAAAAATATAAAGCACTGATTTTCAGACATTGAACAATGGGAAGTGCAGGACGGTGATTTTTGATTGAAGTGAGACAAAATTAGTTGAAGTTTATGATTGCCTTAGTTTAAGGCCTGAAGACAATTTTTAGGCCACAACACAGAGAAGAGAATAATCAAACAGAGCCTTGCAAAATCATTATAGTGAAGAGAAAAATCGAATCTGGGGAGGCCAAAATGACTAATATTTGTGAGGAAGAGTACAATGGGAGAAAGGGCTTCAGAGAGAGAGAGAGAGAAAGAGAGTTCTGGAGGTCTGTAGGGGTCTCCTTGAGCTATCTAAACAAGCATGAGAAGAAATTGCTCCCAATCGAGCAGACAAACAGCCAAAAACAATTGGCTAAGAAATTCCTGGAGTTCATGCAGGGTTAGAAAGTTTGTACATTCACTAGCCAGAGTAGAAGTACAGATAGCATCAGCTAGAATCCTCAGAAATATATTGTCTTAATAGTACGGCTGTATTAACAGCTGTTAATACAAGGCTATTCTGAATCTGTCCTAACAAAGCATAAAAGAAAATTTCAAAAGGATTCAACCAATTTCGAAAAAAATAACATATGCCAGAATAAAGGCCAATAGTATTTACATAAAGACATCAAAATCCAGCATATAACCACACAATTCACAATGTCATGCATCTCATAAAAATTGCCAACAATCAAAGAAGCAGGAATGTTTAACTCATGATAAGGAGGATAATTTATCAGTAGAAATAGACCCAGAAGTGACAAGGATTGTGAAATTACCAGACACAGATATAAAAACAGCAATTATACTTCCATGTCATCGGAAGAAAAAGAAAAAAACAAAGCTATTATAAACATGCTCCCTATGTTTGAGAAAACAAAGGGAAAGTTTAAACTGATGAGAAGGAAAAATAAACATAAAAAGACTTAGATAGAATATCTAGATGTATTTTAAATAAAGGGAAATAAATCTGGAAGAGACAAGCATCAGATTAGACACTGCAGAAGAAAAGATCAGTGAACTGAAACACATAGTAATAGAAATTATCCAAAATGAGATACAGAAAAAGACTGAATTAAAAACAAAAAGACCATAGATAATCTGTGGGACAATTTTAAGCAGTCAATTTTTCATGTAAGTGGAGTCAGAGAAGAAGAAAAATAAAGTTGCAGGAAAAATATCTGAAGGAAAAATACCCAGGCCAGGCACAGTGGCTCATGCCTGTAATCCCAGTACTTTGGGAAGCCAAGGTGGGAGAATTGTTTGAACCCAGGAGTTTGAGACCAGCCTGGGTAACATAGCGAGACCCCCATCTATACAAAGACAATAGCCCCCTAATTTTCAAATCTGATGAAAACTTTAAATGCAAGAAGGTCAAATGCAAGAAGGTCAATAAGCTAAAATTAAGATACAAAAATAATTTTAAGTCACATTATAATCAAGTTTCTGCATACTAGTGATAAAGACATTAAAAGTGCCAGAAAAATATATTTAATACAGAACAATAAGAATAATTGCTCATTTCTCATCAGAAACTATGCAAGCCAGAAGACACCAAGCTAAGTGAAATAAGCAAGAAACAAAAGGCTACATATAACACCATTCCAAAAACAAAGGAATCTATGGGAACCAACCCTATAGGGACCAAAAACAGGTCAATGCTTGCCATAGGCCAGAGTAAAGAGGGGAGAGGATTGATTCCAGAGGAACACAGGGAAACTTTTTTTTTTTTTTTAATATGGAGTCTTGCTTTGTCGCCCAGGCCAGAGTGCAGTGGCATGAACTCGGCTCACTGCAACCTCCACCTCCCGGGTCAAGCAATTCTTCTGCCTCAGCCTCCCGAGTAGCTGGGATTACAGGCAACTGCCACCATGCCCGGCTATTTTTTAAAAAATATTTTTAGTAGAAACGGGATTTCACCATTTTGACCAGGCTGGTCTCAAACCCTTGGCCTCAAGTGATCCACCCACCTCGGCCTCCCAAAGTGCTGAGATTACAGGCATAAGGCACCGCTCCCAGTCAGGGAAAATTTTGATGTGACTGAAACTAAGATAGTGATGGTAGTTACATGATTGAATACATTTGCTGGAATTTACAGGATTATACAATTAAATTCAGTGAATTTAAGTAAAGTTGCTTCACAACAACAAGACTATCAAAACTATAAACAATAAAGTGATAGCCTGTGGTAAATTATTTGGCAGAACTTATTTGCCAAATCTTTATTTGCAAATTAATATTGTATGTTAAATTAGATACTTAAATATGTGTTTTTATTATATAATGAAATGCCTGAGCTTGGTATTTTCTCATTTGACCCTTGGTTATTTGCTGCTTTTTCTTAAATGGTGATATTTAGAAAGAAATTTTAATCTCAGTGGGTAAGGGAGGCTTTCAAATGTTTGAAATTTTGCAAACTACATTATTTTTTTTCTATGATGAGAAAAATCCTTAGGTGTTTAAATCTAGGTGTGTTCAAATTAGAGATTAACACCTGGTACTAACTTATTGCTGGACTTAATTATTTGAATGCTTAGGGTAAAAACCTTAGTTTCTTGCCATTTTTATTTCTTCTCACCAAATTCTCCTATATTGGATCTGAAGCAGGTAAGAAAGATTTGTTCCCGGATGACCTAATGGTATATGTCCATTTGGTGGTAGGACTAATGGACTTACTGAGTTGAAGATGATATTAATCTTTTTGCGCACGCTCACCCTGGACATGGCTGGTTTGCCAGAACTAACCTCATTTTCTAGTTTGTTTTTGAATTGAGTCTGAGCCGTGACCCGAATATACTCTTAAGTCACCAATAAATCAGAATGAAATGATTGGTACCAACTTGGGCAGCAACTGGCCTGATTTGATGGTCTGCTTAGCAGTTGAAGAGTCATTCAATGTTGATTCTTAAATGTGCCACTACGGATGCTTTATTACAACCTATAGATATACAGTGATCATTTACTGATAGGAAGATTTAATGACACTTAAAGGAGAGATAAGATAAAATGGTCAAAAGTGAGGAGGTTTTCCATATTTTTTATAACAACCTAAAAATGCTATGAATAATTTTGCAAGATTTCATAAGGATCAGAATCATGGAGTCCAAGTTTTCTGGCATAAATTATATAATGCCAAAATAGCATGCATAATAGGCAATAATTAGTGAAAATAAAAACCACCTACTGTTATGGCAATTAAAGGTCCTCAGCCATAGCAAACTTACATATTAGCTTGTAGAATTTTGTTCAGTAGAATGCAAATCTTACTTGTCCAGTAAAACAAATCAGCCTGCTTTTCATCTCACACAGCAATCACATTTCTTTATTAAATTGCCTATAACCGCCTAGCTCCTTAAATATTCTTTTAACCAATTTTAACACGTTACTTGTTCCATCATTGATAAACAAAATATTTTTCCTGTTTATTTTTTACTTGTATGAAAGCCTTCATAATTTCTCAAAAATTACATTTTATACAACCTTTCATGTTATTCTAGAGCTTAGACTCTAGCTCATTATATTAACAATGATTAATTCTCTCCAGTACCAAACACTATTCTACATATTAGTTCCATCCTTAAAATCATCACATTGTAGTTGGGGAGTTTATAATGTTATGTGGTAGAATCTTTAATGAAATTACTTGAAAGTGTAGGGGAACTAGTTAGAGCATATGATTCTGACTATAGTGTTGAGATCAGAGAAATACAAAGGAGCTGTATTTAGTCTAAGCTTTGCAAGTAGAATTTAACCAATAAGCCACAGGTGTAAGTGTGCAACAGAGAAGAAAAAGACATTCTAGTTAGTAAAACATATCAGTGAAAAGAGAATGCATAGAAGGTTTGGAACATTCATTTAACCAAAAATTTCAGTGTTGCCAGAGTAGATGGTGAGAAGAGTAGGGAGTGGCTAGAATGAGGCTATAAACAAAGGCTGGGCACAGTTTGGGAAAGGCATTTTACTGTTAAGGAATATGACATTGTCTTTTTGGCAGTGGGAATCTATAGAAAGTTGTAAAAGCATCTTCATTAAGTGTAATGTCTGCATTTTAGAACATGTAATCTGTGGCAGAGTGGAGAATTAATAGAAGAAAAAAGGCACTAAATTTATAAAAAGCAAAAAATGTTTTTTCAAAGTATCCAAGACAGAATTAAAGGCTACTTCAGAAGCACTGCCTTAGAGGTGTAGTGATTTTCAGATTCATCAGGGAGATAGATTACACAGGAGTTGATGAGGTGTGAGTCATAAGGATGAGTTAATGAAGCTTCCTAGGTTTATTGCTTGGGTGATAAACTGGGGGATGATCTGGAGTGGCAGTTACTCAAGAGAGGCAAGACAGAGTTAAGAACAACACAGTGAATGAAGTGAGTGAAAAAAATTATGTATAAAATGAAATACAGCTAGGTTATAGAGCTGGGGAAAATATGTGCCCCATCCCAAAGATATCATTATCTAAAGGAAATTGGGTTTAATTTAACATAAATGTAACAGTGCTAAGCATATGTTCTGGAGCTGAGCAGACAGGTTAGAATTCTGGCTCATTGGCCGGGCGCGGTGACTCAAACGCTTGTAATCCCAGCACTTTGGGAGGCTGAGGCGGGCGGATCACGAGGTCAGTAGATTGAGACCATCCTGGCTAACACAGTGAAACCCCGTCTCTACTAAAAATACAAGAAATTCGCCAGGCATGGTGGCACGTGCCTGTAATCCCAGCTACTCAGAACGCTGAGACAGGAGAATTGCTTGAACCCAGGTGGCGGGGGATGAAGTGAGCCAAGATCACTCCATTGCACTCCAGCCTGGGTGACAGGGTGAGATTTCGTCTCAAAAGAAAAAAAAAAATTCTGGCTCATTATGATCCAAGTGATGTGGAGCATATTATATGTAACACTTTTAAACTTTAGAGAACTCATCCTACTTTGTTTGATGTTGTGAGCTAACGACTTTATAGAGATTAACACAGAGCCTGACAAATAGTGGACCCTCAACAAACAAGAATGTAAAAGGTGACAAAATAGTTACGTTTTTCATGCTACTTTTATTTAGGCTAAATTGTGTCAACATTTGCCAAATTCCAGCTTTTGTATAGTTATTAATTATTTTATTTCTTGCCTCCAAAGTTGTGTATTTGTCCAAGTCTTGCTAAGTATTATTTCATTTCTCACTGTGTCGATTCCAGTTTTTCCCCAAATTGGTGTTTTGTAACTCATGAGATACTAGTAAAATATTTTTGCTTTTATTTATAAGGTTTAGTCTTAATTTAAACAAATAATGCAAGCTTGTTATAATAATAAAGGATAAAAATACTGAAACAAATAATAATTGCACTCTACCCCATTTCTACTCCACCAACTCTGAAATAACAAATGTTAACAATTTGGTGGGTATCTTTCCATCACATTCTTGATGACACAAAAATTGTATTCAAAACAAGTTCATATGTTAACACAAATATATGAGACAGTCTCAGTCAGTCCCCCAGACTGAGTGCAACGGTGCGATCTCGGCTCACTGGAACCTCTACCTCCTGGGTTCAGGTGATTCCCCGGCCTCAGCCTCCTGAGTAGCTGGGATTACAGGCATGTGCCACCACACCTGGCTAATATTTTTGTATTTTTAGTAGAGGCAGGGTTTCACATGTTGGCCAGGCTGGTCTCCAACTCCTGACCTCAAGTGATCCTCCCATCTCGGCTTCCCAAAGTGCTGGGATTACAGGCGTGAGCCACCACACC
This sequence comes from Homo sapiens, assembly GCF_000001405.40. Lineage (NCBI taxonomy): Eukaryota > Metazoa > Chordata > Mammalia > Primates > Hominidae > Homo > Homo sapiens. Next base: position 56,919,598 of record NC_000010.11, on the reverse strand, counting down.
CGGTCAACTATTTTTTTTTTTTCTGATAGAAATATTTTTGAGAGTCTGCTGAGTGTCAGACACTATTCCAAGGGCTGAGGCTGAGGATGCAGCATTGAACAAAACAGACTTAGCCTCTACCTTTGGAGAGCTTATATTCTAATTGGATGCCTTTAAGGAAATATCTCCATTAATATGGCATAGACAAAAAAAAAAGGAGAGCATTTTAGCTTGCATCGATCCTCTTCTGAAATAATAATCTGTAAAATTAGCTGTTGTTGGGGGTGGGAATTAGCTGTTGAATATCTTTTAAAAATTCCTGCTCTGTAATGGAAACCTGAGGGAAGAAGGAAGTGGGCCATATGCATGACCTATGGTTTCACCTTAGACTTGGTGATAGTTAAGGAGAATCATTGCACTCGCGGAAGCTGAAAAGACATGACCAGAGAAAGTACAAATACTGCAAAAGTTTGCAGAAGAGTAGATAATAAGTGGGCAGAATGCCAAATTTAAACTTTTAGTTCTCTATTATTCTCTATGTATTATTATGCACTTTCGTACACTTGTAGTACCAACTTGTAGAGCTAATGTGCTTTGCTAGCAAAACTTTAAATATAGGAAGTTTTGATTTAGAAATTAAAGTTTAGTACAAATAGAAATAAAAAACTTTAAAGGGCAGTGAGTTGATATGAACAAGACTCAAAGGCTTTCGTTCCTTCAAAAAACATTTGTTGATTTGCTTTAGCAGAATACAGAAGTTCACAGATAATCCATAGGGATTAGGTGACTTCCCTGTATTATATTGCTTACAATGTTATGATCCATGTATCCTGGTTATCAACAGACTTTGTTTGACTTGAAATTGGTGAAAAATATTTGAATTCATATTTGAAACTAGAGATTTAATTTCTGTAAAATATATATCTAGTTTCACTTGAGAAATCTAGAAACCTGGCCACCCTGTACTTAAATTTCTAGATGTCAGCAGTTGGCTGGTCCATTTAGATTATCTTGTATTCCCTCAGGCAATCCATTTTTTTATTTATAAAGCATCAACTGTGGAAGCATTTGATTTTGCGAACCTGCCTCATCCATAATGGTGAGAGGATACACTGCTGTGAGCTGTCAGTTAGCACTTGATATACTTTCCTTTTCCTTCCATGCCTGTGACCACGTTACACACTTCTTTTTCAGCTGGGTTTTAGATATTTTAAATTGTAAAATATAATGTAGTCATACAGGACTTAGAAGAGAAGCACAAGAGATGAAATTGTAGTAGACAGATGCACAAGTGCAGGAATGTAAGACTTTTTTCCCAAAATTTATTCTAGGAGTACAATTTACAAATAAACAAATGCACAGATTTTCAGTGGTATGGATTGATGGGTTTTGACAAATGCATGCACTTGTGTAACACTCAAAACCCTGTTAAAATACAGAACATTCAGTCACCACAGAAGACTCCTTGTATCCTTTCCCAGTCATCTAACAGCTACTACCCCTCAGTTTCTCCAGGAAAACCTGTATTTCTTCCACCATAGGTTAGCTTTTCCTGTTCTAGAAAGTTCATGAAAATGAAATTATACACAATGCAGTCTTTCATATCTGGCTTATGAATCTTTGAGATTCATTCATTTCATTTTGTGTAGTAGTTCTTAGTTCCTTTTTATTGCAGAGAAGAATAATATTGTAGAATTATACCACATATTGCTTATGATTGTCTCAATTGCTCTGAAACGCCTAAAACACATTTCTACAGACTTCTCACATTCTGATTAACAACTGAAAACTGTCCACTTGTTTTATAAATAAGAAAAAGGAAGACAAGCGTCCTCATTCCTTGAGTAATCAGCACAGATTGCTTGCAGGAAGGTTAAGGAAACCACCTGACAATATAATGGAATAGAAGACTGCTGACCAACAGCGAGAGTGACTGATTTGGACCACAATGGAACACTTCTTTTCCTTCCATGTGATCTTCCGCATCTCTCTGTGCTATGGTTTAGATATGATTTGTTCATCCCCACCAAATCTCATGCAGAAATTTGATCCCCAGTGTGGCAGTGTGGGGAGGTAGGGCCTAAAGGGAGGTGTTAGGTCATGGGGGAGGATCCCTTATGAATAGATTAATGCCCTCCCTAAGGGGTGAATGAATTCTCATTCTGCTAGTTCCCAGAGAGCTGGTGTTCAAAAGAGTCTGGCACCTTCCCTTTCTTTCTTTCCTCTTCTCCCTCAGCATGGTGATCTCTGCTCAAGCCAGTTCCTTTTGGTCATCTGTCATGAGTAGGAACAGCCTGAGGTTCTTACCAGAATCAGATGCCCAATACTGAACTTTTCAGTTATCAGAATCTGAGCCAAATAAACATTCTTTCTTTATAAATTACCCACCTTCAGGTATTTCCTTATAGCAACCCAAAATAGACTAGGTCACTCCTTCTTCTCAGATTAATTATGGTCCCTCAAGATTTTTAAAAGACCAAGAGAGCCCAGAGAGAGAGAATTTTTTTGCAACTCTTTACTCATTTATTTTTTTGCTTATTAGAATAAAAATTTTAAAAATTTTAATAAAGTTTCTTATATGCATGTAAGAATCTTCCACCATTATTTTAAAGGAGTATGTACTCTAAATCAGATGACTTCACTAAAATTTTTGGGTATCAGATTATTTCTCCATTTACCAGGATGATAAAATAATAGTTTATAAAATGCTATGCCTGGGAGAGCAAAAAGATAACATTTCCTTTCAACTACAAATAAAATCTATATTTTATTTTATTTGAGATTCATTCATCTCATTGTGTGTCCTATGAATACACACATTGTATGTTTATTTATGAATCCCAGTTTTCGCATTAAAAAGGCTTTGTTTTTGTTTATATGGAAACTACGTATGTTGATTCATTCCGCACAAGTTCCACAGTAAGGTGGTCAAATATAAAATCAGTTCATGAGATCTCACTTAAGCACCACGTATTTGTTTCCCATTTTTTGTCAAAAAGGTTTCTTTTTGATTTTAGGTAGGTAAATTGATCATTACACTGCTCTAAGAGATAGCTACTTTAACCTTTGTTAATTTAGCAAACCAGAAGTAAGTGAATTTTTACTCATTTTGGTCAGCATTGCTAGATAATTTGAAAGATATTACTTTATTTAATCATCAAAGCAACATTATTGGTAACAGTAGTAATAAGCATTTATTAAGCACCTATTATGTGCAAGCCACTGTGCAACTAGGCATTTTTTTGTATTTATCATATTTTTGCTAACAAGAAATCTGAGGTTCTGAAACCCAAGGTTTTAATTACATTATCAGAGTTAGACTCATTCTGAGGACTTTTGTCTAAAAGATGAAGGAACTCTAAAAAGCAGGAAGGAGAGAAATAAAAATTGTATATAAATGAGCAATACAAGTCTACATTCTTTTAAGACCTGAAATCTGGAAAGGGTAATAGAGGAAGAGAAGAGAGTATTTTCTTTTACCATTAATTATGAGTTATACCCTCTTACTCCACTGCTGTCAAGAGATTTATTTTTTTAACCCACTTTTATTTAAACATAGGTGAATCTCTAGCACTTGGTGAACACTTTGAGCAAAGCACTTTCTTTCTCTAGAGAATCACCTCAGACTTTGTTGAAGACACTTTGGCCAGTTCCAGATGTAAGTGTGAGAACTGGCTGAAAGGTAGACTATCGGTATAAAATATACAATATCATTTGTGAAGAAAGGCTATGTTTACACTAGACAGGGGGAGTTTAAGTGATTGTTTTCCTAAATTCAGAGGTAGAATAACTTATGGGTTATCATCATCACTAGCATAATGGGCAGCTCTCGCTCTTTACAGACTGTGTGCTCATAGAATGGCTGGTCCAAGAGTCTATATTATTTGCAGGCTTTCATTCTTCTTTTCTAGACATTAATAAGGGTGTTTTGTGATTTTTAAAAAAATGAGCTCCCAGATATTAAAAATAATTTAGCATAAATTGCAGTTTAAATTGAAAAAAGAAGCCAATTTTGCAAGCAGCTTTTTAAAACTTATCAAAATGTGCAGTGTTATTTCTAAAGGAAATAATTATTCCAGATATAATATGAAGGGTGTGTTAGTTAAGCATTTACTCATTAATAGGAATATTCATTTTCTACTTATTTCAGATTGTTTTTAAGAAGATGAAATACAATGAAATAATTAAAATTCAAGTAGTGTATTTTCAAAGAAATAAAATATTGTTCATATGTCCAATTCTTCATTGACATTAATTATATTATATATGTATATATTTCTATATTTTACATAGATAGAAAAACTAAAGAACTAATAATTGCCTAAACAGTATTGGATTTATTAGTATAAAATCAATTAACCCATAGAGATTACCCGACTTCTAGAAAACTAATAGGGATTTTTCCAATCTTACACAGCTCTGAAAGATAGATAATTATTATTTACATTTTCAACTGAAGAAACTGACTCAAATTTCATGATTTAATGACACGACTTAAAGATATGTATGTGTCTTTGGTTCATTTATTTAAATGGTAAAGTATTTAAATGGTAAATGGCAGAGCTGAAGTGCAAACCAATGTCTGATGCATCATAACACTATATACTTTCTCATAGACAGAAAATATAATCTCACTTAAAGATGACATAACTACTTAATATCTGAAACCAAAAAGCTGAACTCATGGATTACATAACTAAGGGAGAGATGCTGTTGGGATAAGCTTTGGAAAGAATGGATTTGGGGGCTGTGTTGGTAACAGAGGCAGAAAGGCAGGAACGCTAGTTGTAGAATACATTGGTTACAGAAATTAAAGTGGTTTTATATCATCCTTAGAAGTATGATCACTGCAAATTGTTTATTAATGTCTTTAGCTCACTTTTTGATGGGTTTTTTTTTCTTGTTGCTTTGCTTGAGTTTATTGTAAATTCTGAATATTAGTCATTTGTCAGATATATAGGTTGTGAAGATTTTCTCCCACTCTGTGGGTTGACTGTTTACTCTGCTGACTGTTCCTTTTCCTGTGCAAAAGCTCTTCAGTTTAATTAAATCCCAGCAATTTATCTTTGTTTTTATCGCACTTGCTTTTCGGTTCTTGGTCATGAAATCCTTGCCTAAGCCAATATATACAAATGACCAACAAACATATGAAAAAATGCTCAACATCACTAATGATCAGAGAAATGCAAATCAAAACGACAATGTGATACTGCCTTACTCCTGCAAGAATGGCCTTAATCAAAAAATAAAAAATAGTAGATATTTGCATGGATGCAGTGAAGGGAATATTTCTACATATATATATGATGAAATACTACTGAGCCACAAAAAGGAATGAATTAATGGCATTCACAGCTACCTGGATGAGATTGGAGACTATTATTCTAAGTGAAGTAATTCAGGACTGGAAAACCAAACATCGTATGTTCTCACTCATAAGTGGGAGCTATGAGGATGCAAAGGCATAAGAATGACACAATGGACTTTGGGGACTTGGGAGAATGGATGGGAAGGGGGTGAGGGATAAAAGACTACAAATAGGGTGCAATGTATACTGCTTGGGTGATGGGTGCACCAAGTTCTCACAAATCAGCACTGAAGACCTTACTCATTTAACCAATACCACCTATTCCCCCAGTGACCTATAGAAATTAAAAAAAAAAATTAAAACTGAAGAATGATCACTGAAGGGAGTCCACACCTCACTGACTAACTTCCAAAGTGCCAGGCTGTGTTTACTTAAGCTAGTTGCCTTTGGTCAGTCAGGTTTAAAACGTTTTCGTCTTTACATGTATCACCGTTACAGAACTACCATGGATTGATGAAAGAAGCTTAAAACCATTCCTCATGTTTACTTCTTAACATATGCATTGGCAGTCCCTTGATACAGGAGTGCTGGGAAGGGAAGTACATGGTCCCTTTAAATGATAGGGAAGCGGGGCAGGGAAGTGCTGGTTAGAGAAAGGCGGGTCCCTGGCTAGGGCTCCACCCCCATGGACCTAGGTGAGGACAGGCAAGCCTGCTTTTGCACCCAAATGTTGCATTTTCCAAGACAACCCTGGCCTACCACACCCCCATCCTGGGCCTATAAAAACCCAAGACCCTAGCAGGCAGACATATAGGCAACCAGATGTTGAGAGGAGCACATCAACAGAAGACATAGGTGGCTGGACAGCGAGAAGACGTTGAGGGAGCACGCCAGTGGAAGAGCATTCCTAAAAACACCAGCACGTGGGCAGGCCATTGGGTGGGGGGGCAGGGGGTGGAAGATGTGGAGTTTGGCTGGGGCAGTCAGAGGAGAGCCAGGGCCACCGAGTGGCCCAACTCTAGGGAAAAACAATCTCCATTCTGGCTCCCCAGCTGGCGGACAGCTACTCCCACTCAATAAAACCTTGCACTCATTCTCCAAGCCCACGTGTAATCCGATTCTTCCAGTACACCGAGGAAAGAACCCAGGATACAGAAAGCCCTCTGTCCTTGCTACAAGGTAGAGGGTCTAAGTGAGATGGTTACCACAAGATGTCTATAGACAGTAAACTAAAAGAGCACCCTGTAGCACATGCCCACTGGGGCTTCAGATGTAAACATTCGCCCCTATATACTGCTGTGGGGTTGGAGTCCAACAGCCTGCCCGTCTATATGCTCCCCTAGAGTTGTGACCAGCGGGGCACTGAAGAAGTGAGCCACTCTCCCATCGCATGCCCTGCGAGGGGGACAAGGGAACCTTGCCCGTTTCACCATGATCACCTATTACTTTAGTAGTTCATTGGAAAAACTCACATTGCTCAACATTAAGCTACATATATAGCTAAAATTTATTAGTATAATGGATATAATGCAGTAATCACAGTAAAGAAAAATACATCGTTAAAGGCTAGAGAAGTTGACCATAATGTTTCGTGTCTTCTTTCTGTAGGAACAAAAGGAGATCTTTTTCCCTCTAGCTATGAACTGCAGGATTATATATGGGATATTATTGCCCAGGAGACCCTGCATGAATCTTGGAGTCCATCTTTCTTGAAGGAAGCTGTCTACGTTGTGGTTAGCCCTGGTACAGACTCCAAACCATGCAGCAATGTGCCCATCATTAATCTTTAGATTTACTTTAAACATGCTGATGACTTGGCTCATATTTACGTACTGCTTCAGGCATATAGAACAACATCAATACTCAAGATCTGTGAAAACATTGCAATAGTTTACTTCTCAGAGTCTGACCAAGAGTAATTGCCATGGCTACAGAGATAAGCAAACCATGTGAAACAGATCTGCCACATTCATTACCTTCCCTCCCACCGTAACCACAGAAAGCACAGACCTGTGTGGGGACATTTCAAGAAATTTATCAGCCTTTACCCTCCCATGTGGACCACAGATATTTCATAAGAGTGTACAGAGGAATAACTTCTTAGCTATTATTTACAAGGACTTTCAAGAGTGGCTCAAAATGGAAGCAGTTTACTGTAGCACTTGAGTCTTTACTGTCATCATACTGCCTTAGTTTGTATCTTGGCTGAGTGCCTTGTGGGCGGATGATTACCCAGGTGCTGAGGCAAGAAACTGAAGGCACAAACTGTTTCAGTATAATAATAAAAAAATAGAATAAGAATAGTTATAACACAAATTAGATATAGAGATGATTATGGACATTATCAATCATTAGTATAGACATTATTAATCATTAGCTTTTAAATTTTACTCTTTGTTGTATTACTAATATAACCAAGGAATAACTGGTGGGTATAGGGTCAGGTGCTGAAGGGACACTGTGAGAAGTGACCAAGAAGGCAAGAGGTGAGCCTTCTGTCATGCCCACATAAAGGCCACTTGAGGGCTCCTTGGTCAAGAGGTGAAGCCAGTGCCTGGGAAGGCACCCGTTACTTAGCAGACCGCGAAGGCAGTCTCCCTTTCCTTGAAGGAGTCTGGAAACACTCTGCTCCACCAGCTTCTTGTGGGTGGTTAGATATTATCCAGGCCTGTCTGAGGTCATCTGGAAGCTTAAACCCCTCCCTGTGGTGCTGTGCTTCAGGGGTCTCGATTCTTGTCCACTTTCATGTTCCTCCCATACTCCCGGTTCCTCTTTGAAGTTCTTAGAAGATAGCGGTAGAAGAAATAGTGGAAGTCTTAAAGTCTTTGGTCTTTCTGATAAGTGCATAGAGGAAAACGCTGATGTATGCTGCCTTCCCTCTCTGCTTTGGCTACCTAAAAGGGAAGGGGCCGGTCCTATGATCACATGACTTGCTCAACTTTATCAATCACTTGGATGACTCACCCTCCTTACCCTGCCCTCTTGTCTTGTATACAATAAATATCAGCACGCCCAGCCATTCAGGGCCACTACCTGTCTCCGCGTCTTGGTGGTAGTGGTTCCCCGGGCCCAGCTGTTTTCTCTTTATCTCTTTGTCTTGTGTCTTTATTTCTTACGATCTCTCATCTCTGCACACAGGGAGAACACCCACAAAGCCCCGTAGGTCTGGACCCTACAGTGCCTTACTGGTTCTTTTACCTTGTTATTAAGTTTATATGAGGATTAAATAAATTTATGTATACATGCTCCTTAGCAAAGGGTTTGGCATATAGCATGGGATCAATAAATAATGGCTTTTAATGATAATAATTATATGCATGATCTAATTTAGTTTGCACAACTAGCTTGTGATGAGACAAATAATATGTTTTCATCTTAATTTATAGAGAGGAGAAATTGAAAGTCAAAACAAAATCTAAAGAATTATTTCCAACACAGAAAACCTAAAATAGATAGGTTTTTACACTAATAATTTTTTTTATTCTCAAATAGGAAGCAACATTTTAAAACTGAGAATGGAAACAAACACCAAATAAAGGTTTGACTGAGACAAAGAAAGTGAATATTCTCAGGTAAATCTCAAAGTTTTGTGGCAAAATTTGCGTTGGTAGACCAACAGGGCTAATTGTGAGAGGTATGTGGTCAAACTCTTTAGTGTATTATCTCAGAAAAACATGGGTGGGTAGACACTGGGAATTCACAACGCATTACTGGGTGTAGCTCTCTAATGCAAAGGTTCTTAACTCTGGGCTCATAGATCTCCTGATATGCTATATGGATTTGGTGAAAGGTGCCATAGCTTCATAAGGGAGGATAAGGGAGGCCACTGAGTTGATACTGGGCAGGTCAGGGAAGAATTCCGAGTGAAAGTAGCATCTAAACTGGGAAATAAAGGATGAGTAGGAATCAGCAAAGTAAGGAGAGTAGAGTGCATGTGAAGAAACGTCCAGGTAATAAGGAACTTCCAGGTAGAAGGAATTGTGTGGATAAAGAAACTAGGGGAAAAAAGGGTTGTTATTTGTGAGAAGCCAAAAGAAGTTTTAGTTGTGGGTAGACATAAAACCTTGTTAGGCCCTATGCATCCTTACCCAAGAAGCCACTCTATGTGCACAAAAATATTCAAAGTCAAAATACAATGATGCATATATATCAAAGTGTCTTTTTTTCATTTTCCTTTTTTGTATTGTAAAACTAAACATGACAAATAGTAGCATCTTCCCTCCCCTTGGTGATGTGATACTTCACACATGAGAGCAAGTTCCAGGCAACATGGCTGCCATGCACTGAGCTCTCTCACCTGTGTGAAGTGTTCAGTCTTCATGTGTGTGACCAACAAACAGTTTATCCATGTTGGTGGCAGTCAAAAGCAAATACTGCTTTTTTTTTTCCAAGTATATCGGGAACATAACTGTCAAGTGATTGATTTCATGCCTCTAGCCTTTTTATAGCCTCTTAGATTAGCTCAGGAACAAGATGCATGAAAATAAAAGCTTTTTGGCGGCTAAGGTTTCCAAAATTCAGTATAAGCCAAAGCTATATCAATCAAAATACAATGATCATTTAGCAAGATCCCCAAGGCCAACATCATGTGCAGCATATGTTGATTCTTCTTCATGTCAAACCATTCCATAAGACCTACATTCTCACATTATCATTACCCATACATATTTATGTTATTGGGGTAGGAAGTCAATTTCATTTAAAATTGCCTTATTCTTTTTTTATACTTTGGCTTTATATAGAATCTTTTTGACCAATGAAGCTGCTTCTCATGTCTATGAAACATGTTGCAAATTCCTAAATGAATGCCTGTCTCTGAAACACAAATATTTCTATTAAATGGGTGGATTGTAGGATTAAGAGGCTGCAAGGTTATTGAGTGTTGGTGTAATCACTTACCGGTTCTGTACTTTTCCTTTTTTTTTTTTTTTTTTATGGTTCTGTACTTTTCCTTAGCAGGAGGATGGGAGACTGGAGCAGGGGGTGTGAGGAACGGCAGACACATTTGTTTTTCTTCACTTGGTCTTGGTGGTGAGCTGGTACCTGAGAATAAAGACTGTGAGATGTAGACCTTGTCTGGATTTTCCATTCTGTGCTTGTTCCTTGAAGTTCCATTATACTGCCTTTATGCCTTCAGCATGACATTTATATATTAAAAATGTTTGTGTTTTCTCTGCTCTACTGAAAAGTGCTCTCCTTGTAAGCAGAGACTGCTTCTCCCTCACTATTTCTAGTACAATGTCTGACACCAAATGGACTCACAATATATGCTTTCGGACTGAATAGGCATTGCATGGTATTTGCTAAATAGACCCAGATTCCAAACCCAATTTAGTCTCCTATGCTGTGATTGTGGGAAGATTGCTTAAGTTTTTTGAACTTCAATTTAAGTAAAAAAGATAAAATGAGGACAACCTGCTTTGCAGTGTTATTGAGATCATTACATATAATATATATGCATTGTGTTTAGCATTTTACTATTGTGTTTCTCACACATGGCAAGCATGTAAAAAGTTTTTATTGAATAAAGACAGGATATCTATTGTCTCTTTTTTTTTTTTTTTTTTTTTTTTTTTGAGATGGAGTCTCTCTCTGTTGCCCAGGCTGGAGTACAGTGGCGCTATCTCGGCTCACTGCAAGCTCTGCCTCCTGGGTTCAAGCCATTCTCCTGCCTCAGCCTCCCAAGTAGCTGGGACTACAGGCGCCCGCCACCATGCCTGGCTAATTTTTTGAAGTTTTTTTTAGTAGAGACGGGGTTTCACCATGTTAGCCAGGATGGTCTTGATCTCCTGACCTCGTGATCCACCCGCCTTGGCCTCCCAAAGTGCTGGGATTACAGGCGTGAGCCACTACGCCCAACCCTATTGCCTCTTAAAAAAGCTTCAGGTTTGAGAACTATCTGTATTTCTGAGATGCAACAATAATACAGTAGTTCCCCTTTCTTATTATGATGACAAAAATAAAATATAGTGACAATACCAAATACAATACAATATAAAATGCTGATAAGAATGCAGAGAAACTAGATCACTCATACATTGCTGTTAAGAATATAAAATAGTACAACCACTCTGGAAAACATGTAAATACTATATAACCCAGCAATTGCACACTAAGGCATTTATCTCAGTGACATGAAAATGTATGCTCACCAAGAACCCTATACAGGAATATCCATAGCAGCATTTTTTTGTAATAGCCCTCAACCTGGAAGCAACTCTTAAGCTCTCCAGTGGGTGAATGACTAAATAAATAGACCTCGTACATTCATACTACGCAATAGTACCCAGTAATAAAAGGGAGCAAACTGTGAAATATACAACTGTCTGAGTGAATCTCCAGATATTTGTGCTGAATGAGTAAATCCAATCCCAAAACATTACACACTGTATGATTCCATTTATTTAAATTCTTGAAATGATTAAATTATAAAAGTGGAAATCAGGTAATTGGATCCCAGGGGTAATAGGGGATGAGTGCGGGTAGGAAGTGAGTGTGGTTATAAAAGGGAAATCCAAGCGAAACTTGTGTGAAGATTATGCCTAGTATATGGTCTTTACCAGTGTCAACATTCTGGTTGTCATATTGTGAGTTTTGCAAGATGTTACCACAGGTGGAAACTGAGTATATGGTATATAGTATCTCTATTATTTCTTACAACTGCATGCAAATATGTAATTATTTTTTAAATTTTTAATAATAATAAAATTTTAAATAGGAAGATTGGTCTTAATTTTTGGCCAAATTTAATTATGTAGAAAATAAATGGCAGCCTAATGTATAACGGTGATCTTTTATTGGAAGTGCTTAAGTAAGGCTGAATTCCATTCTGAATAATAGAATGGAAGGAAACCAGGAAAGGGATAAAATGTTACACAAGGGAAATTTTAGTCTTTTAAATGACTGAGGTGCTCCTATGTTAGCCAAGATAAGAAATAAAGTGATAGAGGCTGGGCATGGTGGCTCATGTCTGTAATCCCAGCCCTTTGGGAGGCTGAGGCAGGTTGATCACTTGAGGTCAGGAGTTCGAAATCAGCCTGGGAAACATGGTGAAACCCTGTCTCTACTAAAAATACAACAAAAATTAGCCGGGTGTGGTGGCGGGCCCTGTATTCCTGTATTCCCAGCTACTCTGGAGGCTGAGGCAGGAGAATCACTTGAACCCAGTAGGCAGAGGTTGCAGTGAGCTGGAATCGTGCCACTGCACTCCAGGCTGAGCGACAGTGAGACTCTTTCTAAAAAAAAAAGAAAAAAAAAAGAAAGAAAGTGGTAAGTGGTAGGAAGATTAGAATTTACAGATCTTAAAACAGATGTGTTGAGGAAGTTAAAAGGAAATATAAGAAAAATTATATCCTACATAGATTGAGTTCACCTGGCTCTGAGTCAGGGCTGTCTATCTCTTTTCATTTGTAGCATAATGAACTATAGCTGTATTTTAAGGGGTAAGGTTTAGGTTAACGATCTTCTTGCATATTCTCCCTACTGATTAGTACCAAATCCTTAGAGTAGAGTTCTACTTTCTATAAGTCATTTGTGTCATTTTACAATTTGATTTCCCTCAACTAGATGAAATAGTAAAACTAAAACCAAAGAAAAACAAATATTAAAATATCCTACAGTTTGAATTTCTCAAATTCTATTGCCATATCCTTAAATAGCATACATTTTCAGAACAAATGAGATGAACAGAAATATGAATAAAAACCAAAATTGTATTGAACTATGTCTTTATCAACTGAAGACCTAGACAATAAGGTTAAGCATACTTTCCTGCATTTGTAATCCAGGGATGAAAGTGAGAATACCATAACACAGATATTCTGTAAGATTAATTACTATAGACATCACAAGGTAAGAAGAATAAATTTTAAAAAGTTTGAAGGACATTTCAGTGAAAGAAAATTTAAGAGCAAGAAGGCAGAAACTTCAAGGAAAAATAAGCTATGGTGAGAAAAATCACTGTCACTATTTTCTTAATCCTGGTAGTAATGAAAACAATTTAGGATTCTCACAACTTAAATTGGATTCTGTAGGACTTCACCAATTATATCCGTTTAAAAATAGTTTATTTATATTTCTATTATGTTGAATCCTCAGAACTTAAATTTTGTCTGCACATTTGATAAAACTAATTCACCGTAGGCCCTAAGACATGTTCCTGCGGACTATAGCAAGAATCCAAGGCCCTGACCACTTTTTACTGAGATTATTTCTCAGGATTGTGCTTGCATCAAGCAATCTTGAGGGATGAAGTAATGCCTTCCTCCAATACAAAGAGAAGACATTCTTTACATTTACTATAAAAGCAAAGAGTCCCCATTCTCACTGTATCCCAGGTTCAGTACCTCCATGCAATGAATAGTACTCAGCAATAAAAAGAATGAACTATAATACACACAACAAACTGTATGTGCAGCATCCACCTGGGCCCCACTGCTCACCCCTATGGAACTTAACGATCAATGGGAACGAATACAAGCATTATGTTTCTTGCTGTGCTGTGAGCAATAAAGGTCTTTGTCTCTGACTCAAAAGTTTCATGTGTTTTGCCAGTATCTATGAGCTAGTAATAAGCTAGTTTATTGCCTTCTAAGTAAAATGAAATCAAATCCCAGAACTTGAGATGCATTTTTATGAGATTTATAAAACTAGTTGATTCCTCAATTTAAATGATTGATAGTACTGAAAACATATCACTTTGGGAATCAATTTACTTAAGCATCATTGAAAGACTATAAGGGAAAACAAGAACTTTAAGCGTTCAAGGACAAGAAGCAAGTGTTTTTTCATAGTTCTTTGCTTGTATTATGTAACGGAATTTACAGAGCACTCATATATTAGTACACAAATACAAAATGCACTTCTGTATGCATTTAAAGAATAGTTTGACTTTTTAATCCTATACTTTAAAATAATACAACACAATGTGAGCAGGCATTGTAAAAACATATCAATAGGATCAATATCTCTTTATGAAATTTAAGAATTATTTTTCTCCTGTTGTAATAATTCTAAAGTTTTATTTCTCTTTCATTTTACTTATACCAATGACATCATCAATGATCTCAGCAAATATTATAATGATTTTAGTGGTCTAATGATGAATTTGATTCTATAGGACCTCATTAATTGTATTCATTTAAAATAGTTTATTTATATTCCTTTTGGACTGAATCTTCAGACACTCATAGAAGTAAAACCCTTAGGAATTTATACAATCTGAAACATAAGTATAATAGTACAACAGCTATTTGCAAACTCACTAGATTGTGTTTCATGAATGACAAGTATTTATTGATATCCTGTAATAATTTGTAGAATATTAATTCATTAGGGAACTAGTAAAATAAGCCTTTCTGACTCTACTAACATATTCAATATCTGCCTACTTTATTCCATTTTCTCTCTAATGCCTTCTTCCAGTTACTATTATGTCTCCCCGGGACTAATGTAATTACTTTCCATGGGGTCTACCTCTAACCTTTTCTTTCTGTGAGTTATTTTCAATATAGTAGCCAGAGTTTTACTTTACTACTTAAAAGCACCAAAGATTTCTCACGGCATTTAGAATTAAATCTAAACTTCTTACTTTGGCTTCTGCTTTCTTTTCCCTCTCTACCCAAGTATAAGGCTTTTGTTCAGACCCAGGTCATACTTAATACTGAAATTATTCCCCCTGGTTTTGAGATTGTGGGCTTTTTGTCATTCTCAACTCTCTTAAAATGTCCATTTCACAGAAAGAACTCCCCTGATTCATCTGCATGTGGAGTTCCCATTTTGTCTTTTCACATCATCCTATGTTATTCTGCACAGAAATTACTAGTGTATGATGTTTTCCTTATTTTATGTATATAATCACTTCTTTATAGTGTGCTTTTCAGGTATAACCCTTGGAAGCAGATTCATGTCTCTCCTGTTCATCACATAATCCACAGCTTCTAGAAAGTCAATTACACAGTAAATACTTCATAAATATTGAATGGGTGAATGAATGAAAAAAATAATGCTTTGGCATTAGACAGACCAGGGTTAAATCTCTAGCTCTCTATTTTACTGCCTATGTGGCATTGGGCTAATTGCTTAGCCTCACTAAAATTTAGTTTTGTCACCACAAAAGTTAAGAGAATTACAGTTTCTACTTCTGAGTAGTATATGAAGAAAAAATACAATGAGTACAAACTTATGTTCCCACTATCTCAAAAAGTACTACCCGTTAACAATCAAAGAAGTGATTTGACTATGAGTACCTTCCCTGGATAGCTCCTTTTTAATATTTCTGGCCATTGGGATTTCAGAGTAAACTTCAAAATGAAGCTGGTTGAATCTTAAAAATCATTCCAGGCAATGATGTTACCCATACCATGGAATCTAAGCAGCATCATAGTTCAAATCTGATTACAAATAAATTTTAACAAAGTTAAATATGAAAGTATTTTCCTCAGTCTCCTTGTAGTATATTTTCATCATTATGGCCATGCAATTAACTAATAATAAGGGGAGAAAGAGGTTCTGATCCTAAATTGTCCAGAAACATTGCCTCACGCTGAGATATTTAAAGATTCACGTTTTCATCAAAGCATTTTGCTTTGGAAATAACAGTACTTAAAATTATCAGTACAGCTACTTGAGATCTGATAATTCATCAGGACAATTTAAAGCAATTTGTCAGGGCAACAAAAAGAACAAATGAAAAAAAAGTTACTCAACTCAAACATTTTTTTTTATTCGCAGTTATTTATTTGTAGAGGACTTGGAAGAAAAGGAACATTAGAAGATTCAAATATTTTCTGAGATATTAGACATCACTCTAATTAACATAAATATTTTATGACAATATTATTCTAAAGCATGTATTATTGAAATTATTATGTAAGTGGTGACATATTGAAAATAAGAAAGTTTGTGAGACAGTGGAGATACTGATATATAATAAAAGAAGAATTTTTGGAAGACAGGAGTGTGTTTTGAGATGTACTTGGAATAATTTTGATAGCTATATCTCAAGGGGAATAAAAGCTCAAAGTGACAAAAAGAAAATTTGAAAACACTTCTTAATATCAACACAGAGGTAGCAAATTAACTCAGCCATAAAAATCTACATTTTTCAGCTATGAGATTCAATACATTTCCATTAATGTTTAAACTAGTTTGAAATTGTTTTCTGTTGTTTACAATTTCAAACATATAAACTGATGCACTGAAGTAAGGAACTTCTCATGTGGAGAAGAACAAGAGAATAGCATGCATTGATGCAAGATTATAATAGGTTTATCTTGGGAATGTGATGTGTATTGAGTTTATTGTAAAGAGGGAAAGACGATAGAATTGTGGAATATGAAGTCAGAACAGTGGCCTGGGTCAGGATTTTTGATTAAAACTATCTAATCAAACATTTAGATGAGTAACTTAAGAATTGTTTTGTCAAAAAGACAGCTGAGTTGGGCCATTGAACAATAATGGAGATAGGCCCTGATATAACAAGATCCATTGAAAACTTTGTAATAAAATGACCCCTATTTTATGTGTAGTCTTTATTACTGATCACCTAGAATATTGTAATTGCGCAATCACTTGAAAACTCGATCTCTCTCTCTCTTTCTTTCTCTTTCCCCAATCCTTCAGTTATCATTGTCAGAGTTTAAATAATAAAACACTGCTTTGGTTATGTGGCTCTCCTGATCAAATCCCTTAAAGTGCCTTCTCAATCCTTACCAGAATTTCAGAAAATTTTAATCGATATATAATATTTTCTAGACTCAGAATCTACGTTTCTACTCATATTTTAGAGTATCCACTAACAATGTTCTGCTTCTTTGAGTTTATTTATTATTTTCTCACTGGAATGTAATTCTCTTATCCCTTCACTCATCTCCTAACCATGAAACTTATACCCACTTTCAGATCCTTTTTCAATCACCGTGTCTTTTATTTCCTAATTGTTCCTCCTCTAGTGAATTCCATGCTTTCTTCCTTTCTTCTATCTTCGTTCTTTTAGTATCTTCTAAATAGCATTTAGTATTATTTTGTTCATGTATTCACTAGTCTTATTTTCCTTTCTAAATTATGAGGTAGTTCCTTACAAGGTCCATGCCTTACTCATTCTAGAAATGTGTTGTAAATACTCAACTCATATTTGCCAACTGACTAAATAAGTGAATATGGACTCCCACCCACGCATTCTAGATATTTAGAAATCTAGAGAAATAGTTCATGAACTGCTTTTAAAATTGCATAACAACTAGAAAGTTCCCATAAGCAGGGAAATAGACTTTCTGCTACATGAGCTCATGCTCTGCATCTTCTTCAAATGATTGTTTTCAGATGCAGGATGAGGCACACTCTTGAGTGGGTAAAGCTGAGCCAGCTTGAAGGAACATCTACTCTGCCCTAACATACAAGCCAGATAGAAGGACTAGATTAATAAGTTTGTGCAAAATGGAAGAACTCATGAAAATAAACATATTTTTAATAAAATGAAGCATATCACCAATAATAAAGAAATAAAGAGTAAAATATACCTTCATCAAATTCAAATGTTGTGGTTGATTACACTGAAGTACAAAGAAAGGTATTGGAGCAAACATCATTAATTCAAAACACACTTAACAAACCTCTATATTTTCCCAACTTGTTGCTAGTACAAATAATTCAGCAACAAGTATGTGGTTTCCCTTTTCTTTGAAAACTTCACAGATTTTTGGGGATAATATAGATAAATCCAAGTAATTTTATATCTAAAAAATACATGTATACATACAGTGATCGCATGAAAATCACAGAAGCTGAACTTGAGAGGCGACAGGTAGATAGTGATTGTGTACCTAACAGCTATATGAATTTGTTAGTGATTGTACAGTTTGGATAATAGTTAGAATTACCATGTGTAAAGTTAAACATCTGTAACTTAATTTAAACTTGCATAAGGCAGAAATGCATATGTAAGGATACTATGCACTTCTGAAAATTCACTTCCTTCCATCAAATATTAAAATTAAAAAAATTCAAAATGAGTAGCAATTCATAGAAACTACAATAAGTACTAGTGTTACATTAGACAACACATTCAACTAGAAAATCAGATGAAATTCTCTATCACCTAACATGAAATAAAATGGAGTAAAAAAGAAATGAGAAGTAGCAAAACACTGTAGGACTATTTCAAATGAGGTATTATATACATATTCATCAAAAATGATAATTTTTGATTATTCATCAAAATGATAATTTCAAAGTATAATATCATACAGGAAAATTGAATTACAACTATGAGTATAGCTGTGTTTCCCATACTGTGAGTACATCTCATTCCATCTGCTCAAATATATATTTTTATATTATATGGATGATATTTTCCTATTTCTATTTTCTTTCCTGTACCTAGTTTCTATTAATCCTTAAAAAAATACAGACTTAGACTAAATCTATTTGATAGTTATTATGTCAGTAAAAGATAATGTATATTGCTTAAAGAGCTTGAATATTAGGTGGTTAAAGAGCTTGAATATTAGGAGCAAAAAGTATTTATTATTTTTATATAAAGTAAGAAAATAAAAGCATTAACATTTTATTTATAACAACTAAGGTAATTTAGAACATCATATTAGTTGTGTTATAAAGATCGGGTACTTAAGTTCAATAAAATACACTTCAATTCTGTTGATTATGAATTATACATTAACATAAATTTACTTATGCATAGTTAATAGGTAATGTGGTAAGTATGAACAGGGTAGTAATTTGAGTGACATTTCTAATATTAGTTATGTCTTCTTAGTGTTGAATGGAATAAAAAGCTGGCCTTGATTTCCGTGCCATTATTTTAGAAGAGAAGATAAACATCTAGAGTATAAGACTTAACCTTTTTTCCAGCTGAAATGAGTAAAAAATTGCCCTCTAATTTCTATTTAAAATTAAATGGGCAGTTACTTTAAGTTTTGGTTTACTTCTTCATAATGAAGGACCCACCAATTACTGACTAGAGTTCCTCTCAGAAATAAACGGCTGGCTAATTCTCTCATTCGGATTATCTATAGTGGCTATTTTATCACCATGAGGGAGGTTTATGCCATATAGTAACAACCCTAATTTCTCAACATAACTTTACATTTGCTTGCTGTATGTTCAAAATGGGTTACAAAAGAGGTTCTGTTAATTTGTCACTCAAACACTTCATATTTTAGCACACGGTTCTAAACATGTCATGTCAGCAGAGGAAAGATGGTAATTCTTTTTCTAGCTCTTAAAGCCAACGGTCCACAGTTGACTATTTCTGCTAACATTATAGAGGAAAATAAAAAAGTCACATTGCCATATCTAACACCAAAGGAAACAGGAAAGTACTATTCTACCATATAATAAAGTGTATTTACGGCCTAAATGTAACATAAAGTTTTTGGTCTTGTAACAACTCATCATTGTAACACCTCATCATTGTTCTCAAACAACTCATAATAGTCTCATGTTAGAAGTGTTATCCTCATACAGAGATATCACCTAAATCCTTGTTAAAATGCAGAAAGGAAGCAGGGTCATCATAGGGAGGCCATAATTACAAGACTGCTCCAGAAAAGAATACACAGCTTAATATACACTTGTTCCGAGATTAATAAATGTATCAGCTAAGGTGCCTGAAAATGGCTAGTCAGATGACCAAATTTGAATCAGGGTCTGAAACTTAAGAGTCAGGTCAAGAAATAAAGAGTTGATAAAGTATACAGCGTAAACAGAGGAACCATTTTGTTGTTAAGCGTAGGAATATAAGCAGGCACTCTGACTAGAATGGGCAGAAAGTAGACAGCTGAGGGAAAAGACAGACATTGAAACAAGCAGAGGCATAATTATCTGGTTGAGCATAACAACCCTCATAGGTTGCCAGATAAAATCCAGGATGCCCAGTTAAACTTAATTTCATTTAAACAATGAATTTTTAAATATTCATTATTCTCTTAATTCAGTATTCTCTTAATATTAAAGAGACAGATAAATATTAATGTCACAAATACTGCCCAAATTGTAACTATAATAAACATATTTACTTTTTAACTGAAATTCAAATTTAACTGGACTTCCTAGATTTTTATTTGCTAAATCTCACAATCTTAAACACACATGAATTTAAAATGAACTGAAAGGCTTACTAAGGGCCAATTTCTACAACTGAAAGTTTATGACTTGCCTTTATTGCATGGATTTTTGTTTTTAAGTGCATGTTCAGATTCAGGGATCTCAGAGCATCTAATATACAAAGCAAATATCAACAGAACTGAAAAGCGACAACACAATAACAACACAGTAATAGAGACTTCACTAATTCACTTTCAATTATGGAAAGAACAACCAGACAAAAAAATAATAAGGTAATAACATACTTGAATATCATTGTATACCAAATGGACGCAGTAGACATATTCAGAACATTCAACCCAACAGCAGAAAAATACACATTCTTCTCAAACGCTCATGGAACATTCTCTAGTATCGATCACTTATTTAGTCATAAAAATGTCTTAAAGTATTTAAGAAAATTGAAATAATACCAGGTATCTCTTTTGACCACAATGGAATGAAACTGGAAATCAATAGCAGAAAGAAAATTGGAAAAATCACAAATATGTAGAAATTAAATAAAACACTCTTGAATAACCAAAGAAGAAATAAACAGAAAAATTAGAAAATATCTTAAGACAAAAAAAATGCAAAACCACAATATATCTAAACTTATATAATGCGGCAAAAGTAATACTAAGAGGGAGTGTGTAATAATAAATGTCTTCATTTATAAAAGAAGATATTGATAGAGACAGCCAAATGCTTTCCAGGTCATTGTGCACAGGGGACTTGACTAAACATGCCCATGGTGAAAAATTCTGTCTCTTAACACATGCACGATAAGGGAAATAAATCAATGTGGAGTGGTTCAGACTAAGGGCCCGGCCCGCCTGTGCACTGGGAGAATGGGTTGGAGCCACTGGGAATTTGCAACTTTTGCAGTGGAGAGGAGCCTGGCCTCTTCAGCTCCTGTGTGGTGGCCTGGTATTCAGTCTGTGGGGTGGGAGTCTGTTGGTTAGACTCCCTTGTTTCTCTGAGAGCTTTCTTTTAATAAATTCCGCTCTCGTCACCTTTCAATGTGTCCACATGCCTAATTTTTCCTGGCCGTAACACAAGAACCCAGATTTAGCTGAACAAAGGAGCAAAACATCCTGCATCAATACCAGATAAACAATCTAATTTATACCTCAAGGAACTGAAAAAAGAAACTCAGCCTAAATTTAGCACCAGAAAACAATGATAAAAGTTAGTGCAGAAATAAACAAAATAGACAATAAAAAATTGAAAAAATGAATGAAACTAAGAGTTTTCTGAAAAGATACAACTGACAAAACTTTAAGAAAAAGAGAGAGAATGCTCAAATGAATAAAATCAGAAATGAAAGAGGAGACTTTACATGTGATGCTACAGAAATAAAATGGATCACAAGGGACTACTAAGAATAATTATGAACCAAAATATTGGATAAGCTAGAAGAAACGGACACACTCCTCAAAACATACAACCTACCAAGACTGAATCATGGAGAAATAAAAAATATGAACAAAGTAGTAACGAGTAAGAAAATTCAGCAATAAACAAAAGGCTCCCAAAAAAGAGAAGCCCAGGAACAGATAGCATCCCTGCTGAATTCTACCAAAGATAAATCTACAGTGAGACACATTGTAATTAAAATAACTCCATAAAAGTCAAAGACTTCCAAATTTGTAAAAGTCAAAAACCAAAAATAATTTTGAAAAGTAGTAAAATTCAGAGACCATTATCAATGCTAGGTCCACAGTGGTTGGAAGTGAATTTCTTCCTCTTTTTTGCTCTTACATATTAAGTCAATGGAGAACGTACCTTACTAGGAGTCATGATATTGAAGCTTTAATGCGGTGTGATATGGGATAAATTTTCTGACTACTCTAGAAAGATGATTATGCTTTTGAAAAATGAGAAAAATTTGCTTGTAAATTTCCAGATTGTTATTGTGAACCAAAGTTAGATGATTATGACAAAAGTTTCTTGACTGACAGGGCAGACAACTATGCAGAAGTTTAAACTATTGATGTGAAAAATGCATTATTATATAAATGGAGATATACTGGTTACGGTAAGGTAGTGGTTAGAGTAATGCTGCCCTAACAAAGAAGTCCCACATAATATAGCGTACAGAACAAAGAAATGTATTTCTGTCTTTCATGACAATCCTGAAGTGATGATGTGAGTCTGCGGTAGAATTCTGTTCCAGTGAGTTATTCAGAAAACTAGATTTCTTTGTAAGGTGTTGGTCTACCTAAGGAAGTTTTGTTCATTTGTGTATTCAATGCTTAATTGCTGCATTATTTGGGTTCCAGACTGAGGATGAGAGGAAAAAATAAGTGGTACATGCCACTGACGCTTAAATTTGCTGCTGTGAGTTCAGGAAGAAAGAGAGAAATGATTTTGGTGGGCACCTAGATGTTTCTACCACTGAAAAAGAAAATGTACTAGTAATAAGGAAGAAAATGACCAAAGAGATTAAAGATGCACTTTATATGGGTAATTATAACACCCTTTAGGATTAATTCATCATTATGTTACATTTATATGTAATTCCATGGTTTATAATATTATAGCATACTTATATAACCATTAAATGATTTTCAAAATTAATGGAATAGAAATATAATAGAAATATATTGTTAAATTTTAAAAAAATTATGAAATTTTAAAATATACTATTTTATAATAAATTATAAAGATATATAAAACTGGAGAGATATATCCTAAATTTTAACAGTCATTAACTTTGGTGCTGAATTTATGGATGAAATTTAGTTTTGTTTATTTTATATATCAGTGTTTTCTAAATTGTCTATCATAAACAATAATCTATTTGGGTAATAAGAAACCACACATATCTATATGAACACAAGTTATACAATATAGGAATTCTGTAAATAGATAAGAGGAATTACATGTAAATGCATTTGATTTCAGCTACTATTTTATGTGGAACTAGTACATTTTGTGGTAAAAAGTATCCAGACATGCTTGTGATATCTTAAATGAATTTGCAAAACTTTAAGAGAAAAACAGCAGATGTGACTTCTAAAGCTACCTTATTGATATAAGATCTGTATTATTATTAATGGAAATGCATACTATAACATAGTAAAATAGTCATATCACAAAGCCCATAACAGCACATAAATATCTTACTTTCCCAAAGCATTAAAGCAGCATGTCTGAACAAGTGTTGCATTTAAAATATAAGCCTATATTTTTTGTCTAAATGACTTAAATATTTTAGTCACCCATTATTTATGTGTCTAGAGCTTGAACGCCTGCTTATTTCTTATTGACACCAAGTAAAACAAGGGAGCAAACATTTTATTGTTGAATATTTTATTGTTGTACATTTTTAGTAACTCTCCAAAATAGCTTTCTCAAGCCTTGGTTTAGAATTAACATGGTCTAGCTATTTTTATTTCCTACACCAATATAAAAAGCATAATAAAAATTCATCGGCATTAGTGTCTATATTCTGTTTTTATTTAATTGCCAAGTAGTGATTTTTTTCATAAATATTATATATAACAAGTATTTTCGTGTAACTTATAACCAAAGTTTAGTAAAGTAAACCCAGTTTATTGGCCTTTCCTTTTCTGTCCTCACTAAAGGAAATGGCCTCCTCTAGCCTGTGGCTAAAACCAGAAAGCACGTTCATGAATTCTTTGTTGCCCACATACCCCCTAGAATGTACATCCTGCATGTCAAGTGCTCGAGCAATCCCTAAATCACAGCGTAATTTGTACGTTTACTCATCACACAGTTTTACATGCCATTGAGAAAGAAACAGTGAACACTGTGGATTAGACAATTTAGACAAGTTATTATTCAACAGCTCAGCAGCTATTGTGAACTTTATGCCAGCTCCCCATGTCCCCCAAGTCCCATGCAGGAGATATGGAGGCAGGCCCTATGAACGCTAAGAACACATTGGATCTGTGTTACATAGCTCACAATCAGCAAGTTTGGAAACTCCCAGTCTTATAATGAGCTGCTGGCAAACCTTCCTAATGTTCGTCCCTGAAGAAGACATTATTTCTATCATTCTGGTTAGAAAATAAATCTGATCTCTGATGCAAATAGAATATGACCTCAAACTTCTATGGCTGTTTATTCTAAAAGCATCTTCAAAAGGATAGCACAAATGGGTAGAAATGCTGTTGCAATTATCTCCCAACATTGTGCCTGATGTTGTAGGTATAGCCACAGTCACCCTCTCATAAGAATGACCACTGCTTAGAAATCTGAGCCACCCTATATTCATTAGGTAAATGACCACATTTTACTATAACTCAGGAGACGGAATAGAGCAGTTCTCCTTTCCTTTGCACTTTAATCCTATTTGTTTCCACAAGATGAAAATCCTAGTCTGTACAGGTATACACTAGGAAAACATACTATGCACAAAACAAAACAAACCCCCTGCTACTTAGCATTGCCATATGCTTTGGCCTTTGGAAAGCTGAAAAATTGTATACCTACTTTAATATCTTACAAACATAATTGACAACAGATATGATGAGGGTATGAATGATAGAGGAGTCTTACCTTATTTTATTCATATATATTCAGCTGTGTATTCAGAAAGCAGTCATAGGATAGCATGTGTTACATGATTACTAGGCATAGCAGAGATATGGGATAGCAGTGCCTCTTTCATCATTATTCCTTAGCCATAGGCAAAGTGAATCATATACTAGAAATTTTGGAACTTCCTCTTCATATACTTATATAAGATGTTCAAAAATCAAGAAAACTTTATTTCCATACTTAGCAGATAGAAAAACCAATGTATCATTCCAAAAGACATAACAATACCAATACGACACTAACAAGCACTGACTGCTTTAGAGAATATAGTCCATTTACTGAAACCTGATGAAATATAGCCAAACTGACAATTTTAAGAGTGCAGGTATTTCTCTCATGATGCCTTTATTCTGTTTGTGGAAACTGTTAAAATTGGTATTCATGCAAGAAATACTGAGATGCCATTGGAAATTCAGATACTTCTATAGTCACATTTTTTCTAATCCGAGGTTTAAGAACACAATTTCCTCAAGTGATTCTGTGAAACAGCAAGTGCATGCAAAATGGGAAAAATATAAAATAGTGAGGACAATTCCATTTCTGAAAATATGCAGAAGGCGTCTTCTAAAGTGTTTGAAATGACCTTGGTGAAATTGCAACATCACTATTAAGCAAATCAATAGTGTTAAAGAGATCATTGCATACTGATCTTCATCTTGGTCAGCTGCATTACAGGAGAAAGGAAGCATAGAACTTGATGGCAACATGACCATAATCAAGGGACCTATAGAGGTTGCACCATCCAAATCTTAGCTCGTACTTCCACTGGCATCAGTGGAAAGTTAGCGTTAAGTACAGCATCCGTGTAAGGAATTAGCAAGCAATAATGCTTAAGTATTTTTCTTTCTGCCTTTAATACCAAACTTAACATGTCACCACAAAACTTTTAAGGAATAAAATTGTAATACCACCCTACATTGCTTGGATAAATTTTAAATTCATTTCCATGTCTGAAATGTGATATTTTACTTCAAGCTTGGCTTTGGCAGAATATAGATTTTAACTCTTGTCCATCAAGTGTTTGGCCAAAATATGATTTCAGCACTTTTAATATATACATTTCTCTGCTGAGGGATTGGAACAATTTCTGAAAGGAAGTACAATGTAGAAAGTTAAATATTAAGGTTTTGGTTAACGTGGTCTTCCCTTGATCTCAGACGGAGTGCTCAGGAAAATTTTCCCTCACTCCTAACCTGACTTATTTGCTTTCAGTTTGGAATATGCTTATTAAGAAGCCCTTTCTTTAAGCCCTTTGATGGGAAATTTCAATTCCTTCTCATAATAAGAAAACTGCTTCCTGGAAGATCCTTCCAGGATCTCTGCAATGGCCCAAGTTTGGACTATAATCTCAATAAATGGCCACTGACGATATCTGTTCTAAGTTTCATATATAGGAGTGAAGGGGAATTGGGAATGGGTTAGGAAAAATGGGTTCCTATGCCCATCCTATGAGCAAAAAACATACATTTCTTTCAATTCAAGTATCCATTTTCAAAGGTATCCATATTAATACTCCCACCAGTGAAGCAATAGACTTGTTAATCTTTTACTATTAATGCATTAAAATAACCTGCTTAAATAACTTTTCTTATATTAAAAAATCAATTTTTAAGAGAGTGCAATGTTAGCTCATAGTGACAAAACTTTCACCCTTAATAAGGCATGGTTTTTTTTGTCTTTGACAACATTGTGTCCTGACTGAGAGATTGTTTCCTATTCTTCCATGGGCCAGAAGAATCATAAAGAAAATAGATTCAACTTTAATATCATATTTATTGGGCCCTAAGGACAAACTCTGTATTGTACTCTATTCATTTTTGTCAGAGCCTTCCTTTAACAGAAAGGAAAGAGGGTGGTGATTATCAACACACTCAACCATTGATCTACAGACACATGGCTAAGTGTTAGCACAGTAATTATTCGATCTTATAGTATATAGGTATTCAGAGTGAAAAAGTTAGGAACAGAAAAATAAAATTTATACACTCTTGGTATTTCAGGTAATTTTATCCTATTACAATTCCCAAAGGTCAAATGTAGCTTTCCTCTGGGAGAGATGAAACTAGATAACTCCTTTTTAGAGGAAATTGATTATCACCTTGGGTATAGTCTAACAAAGCAGAATTCTGTGTACTGTGGGCATCCAATGAGTCCCAAATTAATCAAACTAATACCAAAGTTGCCTACTGAAGAAGAGAGACTGCAGAGGGTGAAATTCTAAATCATCTCTTTGTCAGTTAGAGAGAACAGGCAAGTTGAGCAGAGAAGTTATTCTGTGGAGATATGGGATGCTCAATTTTCTCAATTCTCTAGCCCAGGGTACAAAATACTCTTGTGTTCCAGGAAAACTGGAACATCTAGAAGTAGATCTAGTTGTCTCCACATGTCTCCATTCATTCATTTGCTCATTCATTCATGTCGGTTTAACCAATAATTATTGAGTTTACCTTCTGAGACTATAGTAGGTAATAAAACAGAAATGAATTCTAGGCATCATTTAAGTACAATCTACTAAGGAAAAACGAAACAAAACCTGAGACAAATCTATAGTAGTTCAGATTATAAATGTTGTAGAAAAAATGAAAGCAGCATAAGGGGAAAGAAAGAATAGGTGAGACAAGTACATTATAAACAGAATGAGTAGAGAAGAGACTTGAAAGAGGTAAGAAGATTGGGTTTGGTAGCTCATGCCTGTAATCCCAGCACTTTGGGAGGCTGAGGCAGGAGGATCACCTGAGGTCAGGAGTTCGAGACCAGCCTGGCCAACATGGTGAAACCCCGTCTCTACTAAAAATATTAAAAAATTAGCTGGGCGTGATGGCGGGTGCCTGTAGTCCCAGCTACTTGGGAGGTTGAGGCAGGAGAATTGCTTGAACCTGGGAGGCAGAGGTTGGGAGGTTGCGGTGAGCTGAGATCGCGCCACTGCACTCCAGCCTGGGCAACAAGAGCGAAACTCTGTCTCAAAAAAAAAAAAAAAAAAAAAAAAGAAAGAAAAGAAAGAGGAAAGAGGTAAGAAAACCAGGTATTTGATATCAAGCTTAAATAAGTTTGAGGCAGAAGAAACAGCAAGGACCAAAAAAGGCTTTAAGCAAGCGTGAAGTATTCAATCAGTGGTAATAAGGCAATGCAACTGCAGAGGAAAAGAGAGACTTCTTCTGTAATTATCCAGGAATTAAACTTTTTGATATTAACTCACAGATTTCTAAGGTTCTGTTAATTATTTTAAAATCATTTAAATTACTCTTCTTTATAACTTCTGTGGATCTATCTTCAAGTTCAATGACTTTCACCTGTTACTTCCATTTGTTGTTAGCCCATCTGATAATTTTTATCAATAATTTTCTTTCTAGGCTTTTTATGATTTTATTTATTTTAAGAAGTTTTGTATCTTTTATTTATTTTGAATCCATTTTTTTCTTTACCTTATTAAACATAGTTCTCATAGTTACAATAGCTACTTTAAAGGTCTTGTCTGTTAATTTCAACATCTGTGTCATCTGGTTGGCATTTGTTGATTGCCTTTTCTTCTTTGAAAATGGGTTACATTTTCTTTTTGTATGTCAGATTACTTTGAGTTATAACCTAAATATTGTGAGGATTACGTTGTGAAGATTCTGTATTTTGTTATATTCCTCTGAAAAATGTTGATATTTTTGTTTTAGCAAGCAATTGGCTATACTCTTCCCCACTGCTTTGAACTTATTTTAAACCTCAGTTTAATGTTTTAAGTTTTGCTGCATCCCCTTAAGTCTTTCTAAAAAATGTATGGCTTGGGGATTAACCAGAAACTTTAGAAGTAATTATACAGAGTTGGGGGATTTACTTCTTTAGCCCCTCATTACCCTATACTCCCTGTCAACTAGCTGTCATTGTCTGGGCTTCGTTCCCTGGTTTATGTAGCCAGAAAAAAAATTACCTGTATCATACCCTACATGACTTCAGCCTGCCTTCTTGCAAAGATTAAAAAAAAAAAAAAAAAGATAATGGGGGTAGGAGTGGGTTCAGCCTGACTTCTGGGAAAAGATTCAAAAAAAAAAAAAAAAAGAAAAAGAAAAGAAAACGTGGGAGTGGGGAATTATTCCCAGCCTAATCACTTTTCCACATTTTGACTTCCCTCCTGAATATACTTGCTTTTGCTTACTCTCCAGAATACCCAGCTATACCCAGAAATTTTAGTTGCTATCTGATGGAATGTTGGCTAATAGGGAGCTTATACTCTCGTGCTGAAAGTGGAACTCTCTTGAGTGTTAAAAGCATTACTCTGGCTGCTATATTGAGATTGGGCTGACAGAGAAAAAGATTAAAAGGCAGTTAGAATAGTATTGAACTAGCATAGGCAAGAGAGTTTGGTGATTTGAATCAGTGATATAGAGGTACAGATAATTCTAGGAAAACATTTCAAAGGGCAAACCAATAATATTTATTAACAGATTAAATTATTTGTATGAAAGAAAGAATTCAAGAATAACTACAAATTATCCTCTTGAGAAACAGGCATTGTTACTAAGATGAAGAAGACAAGAAAGTAGACTTTTAGGGTGGGAATACAATGAATTAGAATTTTGAGTATCAATTGTGGTATTAGATGCACAATTAGAGATTACAAGTAGTATAAAGTATTGGACATTCAACATTTTAAATTTATGATGTTAAAAATCATCTTATGATGGAGAAAATTCAGTGGATGGGGATAATTTTGGCACCCCGCTATGATAAGCGTGTTGCATCTTAATTCAGAACTTCAGTGCTATATAAGTCTATATGCATCAGTATGGTTTTGTCATGATATGGGCATTCTACTAATTAAAAGCATAGGACCTTGAGCCATGTTGCCATGTTCAAATCCCTGTTCGCTAAGCTATGTAATCACAAATATGTGTTTTGGTGATATACTTGGTGTAATTAGCTGTTCCAAATCGTTTTCATTTTTTCCCCCAGCTAATTTTTATTTTTCATAGAGATAATGTCTCACTATGTTGCCCAGGTGGGTCTTGAACTCTGGGCTCAAGCAATGAGTCACTTCGGCATCCCAAAATGCTAGGATTATAGGTGGAAGCCACTATGACCAGCCTCCAAATCTTACTGGCTTAAAACAACAAGCATTTTATTATTTCCCAAACTCAGTATGTTGACTGCAGCTCATATATATGGTTTTTTTCCTGGTTATGTTTTTGATGTCTCATGGAGGTTTAGTAAGATGGCAAGCGGGGAAGAAAATTAAAGATGGTTTCACTTTCATTTGGTGCTTCGTTGGGGTGGCTTAAAATCTGAATTCAGCTTGTTCATGAGGCCAGCTGGGGTTGTCTCTCTCTCATGATGATCTTTCCCACATGCACACATGTGTTTATTGTGGCTCTGTTTACAATGGCAAAGACTTGGGACCAACAGAAATACCCATCAATGACAGACTGAATAAAGAAAATGTGGCACATATATACCACGGAATTCTATGCAGTCATAAAAAAGGATGAGTTCATGTCCTTTGCAGGGACATGGATGCAGCTGGAAACCATCATTCTCAGCAAACTAGCACAGGAACAGAAAACCAAACCCTGCATGTTCTCATTCATGAGTAGGAGTTGAACAATGAGAACACAAGGACACAGGGAGGGGAACATCACACATCAGGGCCTGTTGGGGGCTGGGGGTAAATGGGAGGGAGAGCATTAGGACAAATACCTAATGCATGCAGTGCTTAAAACCTAGATGATGGTTTGATAGGTGCAGCAAACCACCATGGCACGTGTATACCTATGTAACAAACCTGCACGTTCTGCACATGTATCTCAGAACTTAAACAAACAAACAAACAAAATGGTTTTACCATATTCTTTCCATGTAGTATCTCCAGTAGTGTAGATGAATGACTTACATGGTGGAACAGGGCTCCCCAAAATGCAAAAGTAGAAGCCACTCTGCCTTCTTGAGTACTAAACCTGGACGGTCTCAGTGTCTATTGCTGTTTTATATTGGTTAAAGTGAGTCACAACATGAGCTCAGAATCAATGTGGGAAGTAGCTACACAGAGTCTACATAAATGGTAGTAACTTGGGAGGCAACCAGAGCAAGTTACCAGGCCTCTTTGTTTACCAATTTATACATATGTAATTGAAAATGTTAATATTATTACCCACAATTTTACTGAGAAACATAAGAAATAATTTTTGAAAAGCACACAGATTAGAATGGCACACATCCAAAACACTTTAATATTATTTATTAGTTTTCTGTGAAAGGGCAATATATGCAAAGGGGTCCCCAAATACCAAAGGATCCGAGAAAACAAAGAATGAGGCATACAAATCCAGCTTGTGTGTAAAGGCTTTCTTATTGGGTAACTTATAGACAGAAGCATGTTCTTGGGTGGCTGCAAGAAAGGTAGATGTTCACACATGTTACCTCCAGACTCAGGAATAATATACTATAGGGAGACAGTATAAGTGCTCTGTGTAATACAATTAAAGGCAACTGTTCAGAAGAGGCAAGAATGCTATTCGCCTCATAGCCTGTAATTTCTGTGATAACATCAAAGTTGACATGTTCTTATACTAAGAACAGTAAATGAAGTAGAAATCAGGAGGCATTCAAGGGACGGGGGCTAATCAGAAATCAACATGGTGGATTAGTATCCAAGTTGAAATTACTTTTGTCTTCAATTATCTCAACTATACTCCAAAAATATTATATCTTGTAGAGCTTGGAAACGAGAGTATATAATTTGCCATCTACCAATATTTTTTGTGGTTAAAAATACACCAATATTATTGCATTTGCCTTATTTATTGTGTTAAATTATGTATGACTTTTGTCTATTCCCCAACTTAAAATAAATAAAAGAAAAGCTATTTGACATGAATGAAGCCATTATATCCTAAAAGAAAATACTTTTTGAAGGTAACTTTAAAAGAGGACTTTCAAACACATTTCTTATATCCGTTTTAGTATATCTATACAAAACAGATTTATATATATATATATATATATTATACTTTAAGCTCTAGGGTACATGTGCACAACGTGCAGGTTTGTTACATATGTACACATGTGCCATGTTGGTGTGCTGCAACCATTAACTCGTCATTTACATTAGGCATATCTCCTAATGCTATCCCTCCCCCCTTCCCCCACCCCACAACACGCCCCAGTGTGTGATGTTCACTTTCCTGTGTCCAAGTGTTCTTATTGTTCAATTCCCACCTATGAGTGAGAACATGCAGTGTTTGGTTTTTTGTCCTTGCAATAGTTTGCTGAGAATGATGGTTTGCAGCTTCATCCATGTCCCTACAAAGGACATGAACTCATCATTTTTTATGGCTGCATAGTAGTCCATGGTGTATATGTGCCACAGTTTCTTAATCCAGTCTATATAAAACAGATTTTATATAGAAGAGTGCCCTTGTTTACTGTCGCACTAGACTTACGTGACAAGTCAAAAATTACACAGCAACTCTTTAAACATCAAATTTCAGAAAATGTTGGTAGTAGATGGAAAGGGGATTAGTAGTTGTGTCTTCCTGATTCCTTCTTCTAAGAGAATATTGGTGGACATTGAAGACATTTATTATGCATAAGAATTGGTTAACTGTGTAGATCTTAGCAAATTTTCCGTGTTGGAAGGAAGGAATTAAAACACTGCCTATTTTCTCTTCTCCCAGTGATAAGGCTGATGTTAGCTATTATTTTGACAGATGAAGTTGTGCTCTAAGTAACAAGACTGGAGCCTTCTGAGAAGTTTTCTTAAATGTCTCCACCCTCAATTCAGCAATCAGCTCTGAGTTTATCTAATTTGCATATTGGGTTTTGGTGTAAGTTTTTTTTTTAATAAAAATTTGCTGAGAAAAAAAAGTCTGAAAACCACTGTTTTAAAAATTTGTATAACAATTTAATTATATATTTTTATAATTAGGATTAAAATGTCTTTGGGAGGGTTAAAACATTGTATAAGAGGAGAAGGTATTACCTCATAAATTCTTTGATTTTCTAACAACTTAATTTAAATCCAAGTGAGGAATGGGGAGTTTGTGAAAAAGAAAAAAGAGCTATAATTTTGGAACATGTGATGTTATAGAGTCAGGCAAGCCCAAGGGTCACATAGGAAATCTGATAATAGGCAAAGGGCAATATGAAGGTGTTAAGTTCTCAAGAGGTCACAGAATGGGTACAAAAAGATACTTGCCACATAATGATAATGATGTAACGCAGGTAAAATTTGCTTTAAGATTGTGCCTTGAGTTAGTCACTTTATTTTTTAAAAACATTTTCTGAAATGATGTGTAAAATCATTTACACATCATTCTTTCTGTATAAAAAAACACAGGCCTCTAACTACATGACTGGGTCCAGGATTACATCTGTAGAAACCAAAGGATATGCATATTTTATAAAATATAAGACAGAATTTACATGGTACTGAAAAGAGATTACGGTTTCATTCCTGAATTAAAAATCAGCTGATCAACTATTTGAGTGTGTGCTATGTGAAATGGATATAGACCAAGCACTATATTTCTTTCATTGATTTTTTTGGAGGCAGAATATAAATTTAGTCTTTGTCTTTCTCATTAGAAAACATTCAGGGATGTTTGTGGGTCAATCAGGAAAAAAGTCCAACTACGTTTACCCAAACTATTGACTGTAGCAAATGTTCCTAATCATGGCCTAATTACTGTAGCTAAGATCAGTGATATTCTCAAATCTTAGAAAAAAAGTAAGAAAGATTTTTTTTATATCCATTGATTAATGTTATCTGGTTGTCTTCTATCTTATTTCCTTTTATAAGAAAATAATAAGTGCCTGAATATGACAGTATTACACTTCAGATAATGAGTACTAGAGTAGTAAATATCAGAGAAATAAAGATCAAAAGAAATGAATTATATTTCTGACACTCTCTTGTTTTATACAAAGTTGGCCAAAGCATGTTACATCTCTGCATCTGCAACACTTCACTTCCACCTTATCAATAGGAGCTACAAGTTTACTATAGTCAATGATTTACTGAAAAGAAAACAGCTCCAAGATGGAGAGGAAATGTTCAAGTGTTTCAGCAAAGGTGATGCCTGGCAATTAAAGGGATCATTTGCAATTAGAGGTAGTAATGCTCACTCCTACATATAACTTTCACAGAGTAATATGCTATTTGAAGTTTCTGTGTACCTCCAAAAGAACCAAGTCAGTTTTACAATTATGTCACTTTTTCTAGAGATGTAGCCTCTGTTCTCTAGGTTAGCTTATTCATTGCAGTATTGGGGTTGGTATAGTGCAAACAATAATTTCTCATTCATCCAAAGCAGTCTTATAACATCTTTCCAAGTTTTGACAATTGTACTGAATGATTATGAAGTGTTTGGAGCTCCAGTTGTTAAACTTCACTCCTGGTCAAAAAAGAAGGCAGCAGGGAAGCATGCAACATTTTTTTTTCAGAGCTCATTCTCCTCTTTTAGTTCGGTGAATTTAATCAGAATTATTGAAGTAGCAAATATTTCTCACCAGGCATCACCTTTGCTGAAACACTTGAATGTTTTCTCTCCATCTTGGAGCTGCTTTTTTTTTTTTTCAGCAAATTCTTGACCATAGTAAACTTGCACCTCCTATTGATAAGGTGGAAGTGAAGTGTAAATTTGGGGGTTCAAATTTTGTGTAAGACTTGAACAGATTCTATTATCATGAGTCAAGGAAAAGTACAAATAAATCTAGCTTAAGTACTTTTGTCAATACAACATATTGTAGGAAAACATTTATTACTAATAATAATGACAACTAGTTATCACTTTCTCTAATAAAAGTGTAGAAAATATGGAGTCCCCAGTCCTTACCAATCCTTACCCATTCCAAATTCCAATTGTCTATAAACCTTAGGTACTTCCAATGAAATTACTTCAACCTCTTATGATAATCTCTTCTTTAAGTGGATATGTGATGTTTATAACTTTTCATGTAGATAAATATAACTAGATAAAATATCCTTAAGCTATCTTCTTCTGAGCTGCTGGTCTGGTCTTTTAAATGTGAGATGAATTGCTATTTCTGTGATTAAAAGCCAATACATGCTTACTCTGACCTGTCTATTGTAAAGGCTGCTTTATATTTAATATCACAAAGAACTGGAGTTAAGTTTAAGTATCATGTCTATTTGATATAATGAAACTGATGCTTAGGAAGGCAAAATAACTGGCCTAAAGTTACAAAACAGTTAAGTAGTTCATAAAAGTCTGAACTCAAGACTTTTATGACACCAATCTATGTGCTTACTCACTACACTGTATAGACTGATTAATAAAAGAGGATGTTTTATATTTGACTTGGTGGGTTGTAACACATTTAACTGGAAAAAAATCTTCCAAGCAGGAAAAAAGGAGCCAGTATCTTTTGATTTAATACTTGCGAAGCGTAAAGTAATTGAGTTACAGAAGAATTTTTTTACTTATTTTTCAGAGAATTTTTATTACTTTTTGTCTCTGAAAAAGTAAACACCAAAGTCTCCACTTCAGCTCTTACTTATTCTCCCATTTTGCCTCTTTTCTATTTTTCTTATTTATTTATTTATTTATTTATTTATATTATACTCTAAGTTATGGGATACATGTGCAGAACGTGCAGGTTTGTTACATAGGTATAAACATGCCATGGTGGTTTGCTGCACCCATCAACCCATCATCTACATTAGGTATTTCTCCTAATGCTATCTCTCCCCTAGCCACCTACCCCCAAGAGGCCCCCAGGGTGTGATGTTCCCCTCCCTGTGTCCATGTGTTCTCATTGTTCAGCTCCCACTTATGAGTGAGAACATGTGGCATTTGGTTTTCTGTTCCTGTGTTAGTTTGCTGAGAGTGATGGTTTCCAGTTTCATCTGTGAACCTGCAAAGAATGGGAACTCATCCTTTTTATGGCTGCATAGTATTCCATGGTGTATATGTGCCACATTTTCTTTATCCAGTCTATCATTGATGGGCATTTGGGTTGGCTCCAAGTCTTTGCTATTGTGAATAGTGGGTCATTTATATTCTTCTCTAAACTGGTAATTCTAGTTAGCAATTCCTCTAACCTTTTTAAAAGGTTTTTAGCTTCCTTGCGTTGGGTGAGAACATGCTTCTTTAGCTCAGAGGAGTTTGTTATTACTCACCTTCTGAAGCCTACTTCTTTCAATTCGTCAAACTCATTCCCCATCCAGTTTTGTTCCCTTGCTGGCGTGGAGTTGTGATCTTTTGAAGGAGAAGAGGTGTTCTGGTTTTTGAAATTTTCAGCCTTTTTGCGCTGTTTTTTTCTCATCTTAGTTGATTTATCTACTTTTGGTCTTTGATGTTGGTGACCTTCAGATGGGGCTTTGGTGTGGATGTCCTTTTTGTAGATGTTGATGCTATTCCTTTCTGTTTGTTAGTTTTCCTTCTAACAGGCCCCTCTGCTGCAGGTCTGCTGGAGTTTGCTGGAGGCCCACTCCAGACCCTGTTTGCCGGGGTATGACCAGTGGAGCCTGCAGAACAGCAAAGATTGCTTCCTGTTCCTTCCTCTGAAAAAAAAAAAAATTCACTTTGAATTTGTGTTTCCTTTTTGATAGCTGTATAATAACTATATTTGTTGTCATATTTACTCTAGTTTTGTTTATGTTTAAGTTTTTTCATTTGGGGAAAAACATAATATTAAAATTATGATTTTCAATGTTCTCTTCAGGGGGATAAACCTTACTAAGAGCCTAGCTATATATGAAACAATTGTAAATATACGTTTAACTTCTGGGCTTCGTGCATAATGATTTAGAAATGGGCAAGACTCTTTCTTATTAAAATAAATAACTATTTTTGAGGTTTTTGTGTGTTGCCAGAATGTTGAAATTGATTAAATATCTATACCTAACATCCAGTCTAAGAAAATGCAAGAGGCAGGGAAACATGTTATATAACACTCAGAGTATGCAATCAATAAAGTCCAGAATAAAGAAACTTTAAAGATAGTTCAATTCATCTAGTATTTCTAAAATATAAATTAAAAACCAAAACATTATGGCTGTGGTTCAGAAGAGACGCACCAATCAAATGCAATATGTAAATATTGTTTACACAATTCAAATACTATTCTCTTCTGTGAAAACAAATAAAAGGAAGAAAACATTGGAACCTTATTATTTTCACTCTGACTACAATCATTTTAACCCTCAATTATCTAATTTTTCCCCCAGAGATATATTTATAATGAATTCTTTATTGTACATTCTCTGACTTTCAGTGAGACATATAACACTAACTACTCCACAATCTTATTTTCGTTGGAGTTTTTTCTCCAATGGAGTCATGCATGGTATTTTAATAATAGCCTTGCCCATTGCCCAGGACAGCCAAGGCATTGTCTTTTTTTCTCTACAGCAACCCAAGAACTTTGAAAAATGCCTGGCATATAGGAGGTTCTTGATAAATCTTTGCTGAATAACTCAACTGGAATTGAACATAAATTGAAAAATACATGAAGTTTGTCATTATTAGTAAATATGTGACTACTGTAAGTTTAGTGGCAAAGTCAATTTTATGTAAGAGGTGAAGTGATGGGTGAACTAATAACTGATATAAGGAGAACCAAGAAGATAAGTTAAATATGATTGCTTAACAAACCACTCAAAACTTAATGGCTTAAAACAATGATAACTTAATGATCCCAATTTTACTAAATTTAAAAGTAATACAAAATTTTTATTTAATATGGCATTCATATTTCAGTTTTGCTCTCTGACTTAATAATGTTCTTCATGGTGTTTGCTTCCCTCTAGTACACGAGCTCTTGCATTCAATTATTATGTCTTCTGTGTTTATTTTAATCTGGGAAAGTTCACAGCCATCCCTGCCTCTATTATGCTGATATACTTGAAGAATATGTTCTATTTGGAGTCTGTCTAATATTTTCCCACAAACAGATTGAGATTATGTATTTCAGGTCAGAATACTTCCAAAGAGTTGTCAGCTTTGTCAGGATATGAAATCATTTTCTCTGTTTCTAATTTTTCCTCCTCTTTAATAGTTTTGCCATTCTTTCCAAGTCCCAATTCAGAATCAGATCTTTTAAAGCAATTTTTAAAATGGTGCTTTTAGATTATATTGGCAATACTACAGTTCCAGTCACAATTCTAGTTGGTAGCTTGATTTAATTCTGTTAACAAAGCTGAGTGTTTATTTTCCATGGGTCTTTGGTTATAGTTTAAAGCAGAGATCGGATTTCAGGAAACTTCCAGGAATAGAAGTACTTCACCTTGTTTCCTGGGTTTAGCTAGTGCGCAAGTCTGTCCTAAGGAGTACTTTTAGCCCCTGTTGTCAGTAGAAGCCAAATTTCCAGCTGTCACAGACTGGTTTCAGATTGTGAGCCCATCAGATTAATTGCGTTAGCCCTAACTGCTTCTTGCCACTTTTATATCTGTTCAATTTCTGTCTTTGTTTTGACCTAACTGTGTCATTTTTATATTATATTAACTAATCATTATAATTACTAGTTACACTGACATTATAATTGTTAATGGCAGTGAATCTGTACGGGTCTGCAGCAACTTCAATTCTTGTCTCCTCAGAAGAAAGAATTTGACTGAGGGCCGTAAAGCAGAACAAGAGAGCAAGGCAATTTTTTGAGCAGGAGTTAAAGTTTATTAAAAAATTTAGGTCAGGAGTGAAAGGAAATATAAAGTACACTTGGAAGAGGGCCAAGCAGACTACTTGAGAGATCAAGTGTTTGTTTTGATCTTTGACTTCGGGTCTTAAATCTTGGCATGCTTCCTGGTTGTGTTACTTGTCCCCTGACTCTTCCCTTGTGGTGGGCTGTCCAGAAGAGCAGTGGTCTGCCAGCACTTGAAAGGGGCCGCATGAACAGTGTGTTTATCGAAATAGTGCACATGCTCACTTCAGGCGTTCTTCCCTTACCACTTGAGTGTTTCTAGAGAAGGTCATATACTAGTTAAACTCTACCATTTTACCTCTTAGTGTGCATGCTTGAGCCCACTCACCCAACTCCTGAGATCTTCTCAAAAAGCTGCTGATCACCAACTTTAGGTGTTTCAATCTACTGGGAGACTGCCTTCCCCTGGCGCTGGCTGAGACCAATTATTATTTTAGAGAGACAGTTTTAACAGCTCTCTAACCTAATCACATAGTGAAACTAGGCAATGATCATCAATGGAAACTGATATCACACAAACCTACGGTTGCCTGACATTCCTGGTCGGTTGAGGGGCAGAGAGGGGCTCTCTCCTGCACTGCTCATGTCTGCCTGACTACCTACTGCAATATAATGACTGCTTATACTAGTTGTCTTTGAAAGTTTCATTTTTCTCTAGATCTGAGCTACTTTGTCAGTTCTTAAGCCCTTGATTTGTCATGACAGTTGAGTAAATACCATAGATTTACTCTGTGACACCAAAACTAGCTTCTAATACTAATAATGCCATCTTCTTAGTTTTGGTGAATAGATAGACTTGTTCATTTCATAATTCTCTTCTCTCAGAAAACATCAGGAATCTTTTGACAGGCATTTCCAAAGAGTCTAAACTATCAAATCTCCTGTTATTTTGACTGAAATTTCTTTAATTGCATAAAATCTTTTGAAAAGAGTAATAAAGGTCTTTTGAATGTAAAATACTTCTCATCCTACATATTTGTTTTTCCTCCAGAATGATTAAACTAAAATTTGCTAGCAATGAAAACTTAATGGCAATTATTCTGAGCAATTATCTTTTATTTTCTTTTCTCTCCAGACCCTGTATAATGTGGCAAGAATAATCATTTGCTTTTGTTTATTTGTTATTCTCCTTTCGTGGCAAACTGGCTCTATTTCTTTTTTTCTCTTTTGTTCACTAATAGCCTAATATTTAAATGTATGTGAACAGTTTGATTTACATGAGGGTTTTTGTTTTGTTTTTGCCATATGCAGTATTATTCATTGCTGTTAAAATATAGGTTACTTAGAAAGGTTATTGAAAAAAATGTATAGACCCACAGGACCCACGTGGTGGACAAGCTGGTTAAAGTAATAAATAAATCCTAGCTAAGAGTGTGATCTGAAGGAATTAGACACAGGGTGGGAGAATTTGGATTAAGAGCTTGTGCAAGGTACAAAGAATTATTTCCTCTTGGAGTGCAGTTATGGGAGTAACAGACATTTCGAGGGGCTTGAATTTGTTAGAAAGTCAGTGAGTCTAAGAGAGTGATGATAAATGGGGAAAGAAGATTACCCAGGTCCATTTGGACACAATGAAGACTTTATTTTCTTTAGAGTTTGCTAGTCTGCCTAATTGAAATTAACATTTCATATGGTTTTGGGTTTTATTTATAATATTATATGTGAGTTTTTATAAAAATGGAAATTATTGCTCATAATTTGCATAAGATTTAAAATTACAGGTGTGGCAGTAAGAATAGCATATTACTTTACAGTCATTGACTATTTGTTACAGGCAATGCTCTATGCTCACCCCTTTATATGCAATATATATGTACATATCCCAAGAGGTAGGTGCTCTGAACAAAACAGCTAGTAAGTGGCAGGGCCAGAATTCAATCCTAAGTCTGTGAGCAATAGCTATTCTCTCATCCTATGTATTATTTTTTATAAAATGTTTCTGCACACATTCACATGGCGTACTCTGTGGCCTTGTTTGAACTCTGTGACTCAGCTTATCTGAACATCACAGTTCGGACCTTCGTTGCGTACCTGAGAATGAAGAATTGCTGGTTACTGGCATTAGTGTGGGGAGGACATGTAGCCTTAGGGGTAGGAAAGCCATTTTCTATCATTTATTGGGAGAGTCAAAAAGGTTGGGTGACTCTTGAGAAGACAGAAGTTGTCTGTCATACTGTCTTGGATAAGTATCCCTTTTTATGATAGTAAATTATACAGGTAGGCTGCCTTTATTGCTCCTTTGACGGGATTCCTACCTCCAGGCAGAGATGTTGCTTTCCAGAGAGGAATCTATGACAGATGGACTGTCCAGAGAATTAATTAAACTCAAATCTGACTGACAGAAGAGAGTCAAAGCCTGCCAAGGAAGAAGAAGCAGGGTCCAATATCATAGCAACTGATTTGAAATATTAGGTAGTTAGACACTAGGGAAACCCTATCAGCCCATCTCTGAGGAATGCTTTAATAATTTAGACATTGACGAGAACATTGAGATTTCCACTGAAATGAAGGTGACACACATAAAGTGCACCTTGGAGCCCATATCTAAGATTTGTTTCAGCCCAAATCAGTCCTGTTGCCATTGGCAGTGATTACAGCAGTAGTATTGTGATTTTTTTTTTTTTTTTTTGACAGTCTCCCTCTGTCACCCAGGCTGGAGTGCAGTGGCGCGATCTCGGCTTTCGGCTCACTGCAACCTCTGCCTCCTGGGTTCACGCCGTTTTCCTGCCTCAGCCTCCCGAGTAGCTGGGACTACAGGCACCCGCCACCATGCCCGGCTAATTCTTTGTATTTTTAGTAGAGACAGGGTTTCACCATCTTAGCCAGGATGGTCTCGATTTCCTGACCAGTATTGTGATTTTTAAAATTTAAGGAGTATTTTATGAAAATCTCCCTAAGATATTTTGACATGAGTAGTTATTAGGTAATTTTTTTAAAATAGTAATTCTTCGTATTATTATACAAGCACAAAAGCAACAAACAAGAGAATGGACAAACTTTGCCAAGAACAGTATTCAATTTCAGCATCTTGTAAGATCTGTTGTCTATTTATAGGATACTGTCTCTATCAGAATCAAAAATATTTTATTATGCTAGAGAAAATGAAGGGTAAATATTTCTTAGCTATTTTTATTATGAAATAAAGCACATATACAGGAAAGCATATAAAAACATATTCCATTTAACGAATAATTATAGTGGTCAAGAAAAATGACCTTTCCAACATTTTATAAGCTTCTACCCATGGTAAGTACCCTCTTTCCTACCATAGATAGCCACTCTATTAAATTTGCTTTTCTTTATAGTTTCAGTAATTTTGTAAATATTGTAAAAATAAATTTTAGTTTTTCCTTTTAAAAGTGTTATATAAAATTAAAACATATTTGAATGGGATATCTTGTTAGGTATTGCTGCTTTCACTCAACATTGCCTGTAAGATTTCAGAAATACAGTAATATATACGTATTTTTCACCAGGTTACTCTACTAGATCTTCAAAGCAAGAAAGCATAAATGGTGGGGTCAAAAAGCCAAGGTATCAACTGAGACATACATTTATAAAATAATTTTTATTTGGAGGCGATGGAAACTCTGTATTATACATCTCTTATTTTTATAAGCTGTTGTGAATGAGAGTGCAAAGTTTAACATGATGTCAGAATCTATATGTGTGAATATATTGTTGGATAGCTTGTCTCCCATATGGCAATGTAATGAGCTTTCAGTCCCAAGATTAAAGTAAAAATGTTTGTAGATTCCAAAGGAATTTTCTTTCTTTACACCTCTTCCTTTCGGCTATTTAATTTGTAGGTGCACCTGTTTACCTACGGTACCAAATGATTTGGATGAGGACACCTAATGTAAGATTCATCGAGTCCTTTTAGATTTTAGAAGATAGGAAAATTGTTGTATCCATAATGTTTGCAAATGAAACCTGTTTTCTCTTTATCTTTCCAGCTTAAGGGGTCACATTTTTTAGTAATAATTTAATTCATCAAACAAATACTTTTTCATGCGAGGTTTCAGTCCACCGTAGGATTATCTCCATATCTTTTGTATTTCTTGGATATCCTTAACTATTTTCTGAGGGTCCTCACATCCTTACAAACAATTCTCATCCTGCTGAGTAATTGTGACTTCACATTGTTTCCTGCCCAAAGTTCACTGGTTACTTCTTTGTTCGCTGGACAGCAACATCATCTCACAAAGTGGAGGCAGTATGTTCTCTGGATGAAAAACTCAATGATTGCTCATCACAAAGTGAATCCTAGCATTCATTTTGCTTTACTTAATATTATTCAATAATCACCTTCACCTTATGGCTTTTTTAACATTTTGCAGAATTTTCAGTGAACCAGCTCTTTTCATTTTTATCTACTGATTTCCTGTGGTTTGTAGAACCAAGACATGAATCCATTAGGGGCTAGCCTATTCTGGGAGACAAATATTAGTGAAAAAAACAAAACTGTACTCAAAAAGCACTCTCTTCCCTGATGACTAAAACTTTCCCATTTAATCAAATAAGATGTATTCTTCCCTGAGCTTTAATGATTTCTCAGAAGACTCCTTAGTGTTCATGCACATATAACAGTTAAACAAATGCTCTAGTGATGCCTGAACCCAAGGAATGGGGGATCAGCTGAAGCTGATGTCCAATGTTCAAACATTTGCTTTTGGCTGAATAAGAGTTCACTACTGGAACTCAGGAGAGATGCTACAGTATACGTTGCCTTGGTGACCAACAAGGTCTTCCAATGATTTTCCTCCCAGTTTGTGTAAAATCGCTTCTAGTTTTATTGAAATAGTGGCCAAAAAATAAGGTGAGAAGCAAACTAAGGGATACGTAAGTGGCATAATACATAGTTAAATTGGCCAAGTAGTGAACGTGAATAAACACATTCTGTTTTCAGAACAATCTTGACCCAATAATACCAAAATTAGAAATTCTGCTAAGTTATTCTCATCCAAATTTTGGTACTAGCCATATATTTTGGAGAAGTAGAGTACAATCGAAATGAGCACCGGGTTTGGAAGGCAGAAACTTGATTTTGAGTCTCAGTTCT
The DNA here is from genome assembly GCF_000001405.40 of Homo sapiens. Classification (NCBI taxonomy): domain Eukaryota; kingdom Metazoa; phylum Chordata; class Mammalia; order Primates; family Hominidae; genus Homo; species Homo sapiens. The sequence goes on along the minus strand of NC_000010.11, from coordinate 56,875,931 downwards.
GCCATTACTTTCCTGTTTCACTGTGGGCTGCTTATTTCTCTTTTCCTGGCCTAAGTTTCTAAGTACCAAAAATTGAAGTTTGGTATAAGTGAGAGTTGAGAATCTATGTAGTCCTAACATTCCATGAAAACCTTTATTTTATATGTTGAGCCATTTGACTGAAAATTATACCTTGATCTGTCAGTTGAAATAGGATATATAACTTTCTTTGTTTTTTAATAACCACTCAAAGTACCCGATCCACATAACAGATAGTGGGTTTTTTTTTCCTAGAAAAAATATTAACTTTTGAAAATTACATGGCATATATATAAGGACATTGGATGTTGGTACAATATAGATTCATGTATTGATGCAAGCAGCATGAATTTCTTCATATTACAAAAGTTACGAAAGGAAGACAAAAAGTGCCTGCTTCAAATCAGACACAGAGCTGAAATTCAAATATAAATTTTTATGTTAATTTCTTAAAGTGAACAACATTGTATTGCCATAGGGGAATTATTAAAAAAAAACATAAAGCAAACAATGGGGTAAGAGAATCATTCTTTATCTTTATTGTTAATAAATAGGCAACTCTTCTTTAAAGAACCCCTTTGATTTAATCTGAAATAAGTAAATTTTAAAAATGATTCTTTTGGGTAAACCTTTTAGAATTGTTAACTGCTGTCTTAGAATTGACAGCAGTAACACTGAGATTTTCTAGTAGCCAGGTGTTCTTAGGAGCTGACTGACATAGCTTAGTCATTCTCAGTTATGTAATTTACCTCCACTGGTCAAATTGCTGCTGCTCTTGTAAGATAAGTACCTTAACTAGATTACATAGAACAGTCTATTGCTGAGTTCCTGAACTAACAAATTCAGTACAGTCCCCTAGAAGAATCCATCAAAACACGACTTGTGCTAATAGAGATGATTTTAAATTTGGCTTGAAATAGCCAAATTAAATGAAATGGTATTGCATAATTGTTAACCAAATTTCAACTCATGTTTGTTCACTATGAAATTATTAAGAGTAATTATGATAAAAACTGTCACAAATACAGGTGCATGTGGGGAAAATTAGCTTTTAATTGGATCATTGTGATAAGTTACCATTTAATACATAGATATATTAAGAATGAAGAACATATTTATTTCATGCTTCCTTAAAAGAGTATTTCTGAACTTAGAGCAAAAAATATTTTTGCATATTCAGTCATTATTATTCCACGTTTCCCTGTGAGATTATCCATGAACTTTCAAATTAATTTAGGGTAAGAATATTTGTGCAAGCTTATTCTGAATTCTGGAAATTTAAGATTTAAGAGGAAGTTCAATAATCAGCATATCAAACTAACTCATTTCAGGCATGAAAATAAAAGAAGCAATGCGAAGAAGTGAGTTGTCTGAGGTTGTACATTTAAGAAGTATTGAGGTTTTCAGACTTGATAAAAATGTATCTAAATGTAAAAGAAGTGTAAGGTCAGTTCTAGTTTAGGTGACCTGGTTTTAGGCAAGATTACTCTGATGTTATATTTTTCCCAATCAGATAATTTATCTTGACATGATTTATCATCTTATGACTACTCTCTTTTCATGATCCTGAGTCTTCTCTTGTGTTTCTGAAGCTTCATGATTTAGTGCATGAAATTAAGATTTTTTTAACTCAGATTTTGTGTCTTACTAGTTTTGTAGCTTTTGTCAAGTTACTTAATTTTCCTATGCCTCAGTTTCCACCTTTCAAAATGGAAATAATAGATTTGAATAAACTAATTCAATTAATGTATTAAATAATGTAAGAATTAATTAATTACAATAGGCTAATGTATGTAAAGCATTTAACACAAGCTTGGAAGTGACAAATGTTAAACAATCCAGTGGTATCATGATCGTAGTCACCATGATGATCATCATTATCACCATTAAAGATTTTTACTTATGTAGAATGTCCACCTAAATTTTCCATAGCCATTCACTACCTTTTTGAAACATGCATTTAAAAAATCCATACTTGTCCATTTGGTTGATGGCATCATGAACCTCACAATTTGGGAGTCATTGGTGTCCCTTGCCTTTTCCCAAATCTTTGCCCCCTGCTTCAAAAGCTAATTAAATGAACAAATATTATTTATATTAATTTCTAAATTTCTGTTATAAATTCATTACTTTTCATCTCCATTTCCATAGTTATAATAAATTGTTATTTAGTAATATTTATAGTTATATTTTTCTGAAAACTTCCCATAGGAAGTTATCTACAGTCTCCTATATTATCCACTCAAATAATTGTCAATAAAGTTTCTAGAAAAATTTACCAAACATTAAAATATGATCCTATTACTTCATTCCCTACTTGATATCCCTAAAAATCTGCTTTCATTTGTAAATCATAGTCCATGTTCCTCTGGATGATGCCTAATCTAGTTTTCCATGATGGCATTAACACTTAATTGATAATGAACTATTTTTAGTTCCAAGAATGCTCCATATTTATCTATGCCTCTATAACATAATTGCTTTTTTCTAGATTTTTTTTTTCTCTTCTTTTATCTGGCAAATGCATTTTATCAATCAAAATTTGTTCAGACATTACTTCCTCTGTGCTATACCAACACCCACCAAACAGAGGTAAACATTACATTCACTCTTAGATTTTTTTTTTATTCCTTACGTGTTACCCTGTCTTTTATTAAATTGTATCATTATGCATGATATTATTATAATTCTTATAATATTTTATTATACTTTTGTGTAAATCTGGCTTTTCTATTATTAAAAAATATTCTGATACTTGTTAAAATGATAAGCAAGACTTTATTCAATACTATTGCAATAAGAGGGAGAATGGGCTCAACTTTGAATACAGCAAAGATTGCTGGGGATGTATATTCAATGAGCAGAATGAAGAGGTTAGTTGATAGAAAATTACTAAAAGCAGATATCAAAGGTAGGCATATTCTTACTAAGTTAACTTAGCAGGAATCTTGCTGAAGGCAGGCCAGGGTGACAGCAAAAGTAGGGGATGAGAAATTCGAGCAGATATTGAGGGTGGTCAGATATCAAAGGTGGAAGACTGAATAAACTGACTTTGCAGGTTTCTTGCTAAGACTGGGCTACACAGGCTAAAGACAAAGAAAGACAATGTCCAAGTTTATCCTAAAAGAGCACTCAAAGGAGCCTGTTTAAAATTTAGCCAAGGAGAAAGTCTGTCAATATTAGACTGGGTTTTCCTTTAAGGATAGAATAAGCCCTTTATTTCTTCATTACACACCCAACACAATGCTTGGTTAACTGCAGGTGCTTGGTAAGTATGTGTTTGATGGACCGAACCCTTTTCAAGTAAGGTCATAATTTGAGATTTCAAGTGATTTTGATAGCCAATAGGAGAGGTTAAAGGAAGTATAACGTAAGTTATATTCCCTTGAATTATATACAGGTTGACTTTAAGTCTAATATTACATCACAATTTTGGATTTGACAATTTCTGCTGAGTCTTTTTGTCTTGTTCTTAACTGGGTGTGGCCCTTTCAAAGAAATTACTGTTCTGTAGTACACTGCATTATAGATTGATCACACCTGTTTTTAGTTGAATCTTCATGTAAGACATTTGTAAGTTTGGGGGCATAGTGAGTTTAATATTAACTTTTCCTTCTGGTCTTTCCCAATAAACTTCATTAATGCCTGTTGTATTTGTCATATTTTTCAAAATTTAAGTATATAATAATTTCCTTTTCACTAGATCACTTTGCTTCAAGAAGTCTCAGGATCAAAACAATAATTTATAAATAAGACTTATTTTTAAGGTTTATTTATTTTATTTATTTTTATTATACTTTAAGTTCTGGGATACATGTGCAGAACATGCAGGTTTTTTTACATAGTTATACACATACCATGGTGGTTTGCTGAACACATCAAACCGTCATCTACATTAGGTACTTCTCTCTTTTAAAATCTCAATTAAAGTATTACTTACATAAGTGCACAAATTTTCAGCATATATCGGTGTAAAGTATATGCAAGTATTGGCGTAAACACATTTCAGATCAGGAAATAGGAAGAATTCATCACCACAGCGTGCTTCCCTGAACTCCATATCGATTGACATTGCCACGTCTAAATACATGACAAAGTCAGCTACTATTTTGATCTCTATCACAGCAGATTCATATTTCCTGTTCTAAAAATTCATACTAATTTAACAATATAGTGTGTTTTCATTTTGCATTTGACTTCCTTCATTCTATATGATGCCTGTGATAATGAATTTTCTTACAAAGATCAGCAGTTTTGTGTTTCCTTTGTGGTGCTGTGTTTCCTTAGAATACCAATGACTGGTGGACATTTAGGTTTTTTCCCTAATGCTTGGCTGTTAAGAATAATATGGCTATCTATATTCTTGAAAACATCTTTTGTTGGATACAGACACTCATTTATTTTGAGTATTTACCCAAGATAAAATTTCTGGGACACAAGGCATATTATGTTTAGCTTATATGTAGCATATTTTCTTTCTTTCCTTTTCTTTCCTCCCTTTCTTCCCTCCCTCTCCTCTTCCTTTTTCCCTTTCCTTTTCTTTCCTTTCCTTTCCTTTCCTTTCCTTTCCTTTCCTTTCCTTTCCTTTCCTTTCCTTTCTTCTCTCACTTGCTTGCTTTATTGTATCACCTGGAAACTTTGTGAGAATGTTCAATAGATATTCTGATCTTTTTTCCAATGTTAGAGAAAAATGTGCACTATTTCACAACTAAAAGTTATTTTATTAAGTTTTTGTAGGTATCATTTATTGGAGTAAGTAAGGAAGACTATTTTGGCCCTCTTTTGCTTGATGTATTAGTGTATTTATTATCAGCAGGTATTAAGTTTTACCAAATATTTTGTGCATCTATTCTACTGAATATAAGGAAATTTACATTTTTTCTTTGAATACTGTAAATTACATTTATTTATTTATTTATTTATTTTCTTTTACTATTATACTTTAGGTTTTAGGGTACATGTGCACATTGTGCAGGTTAGTTACATATGTATACATGTGCCAAGCTGGTGCGCTGCACCCACTAACTCATCATCTAGCATTAGGTATATCTCCCAGTGCTATCCCTCCCCCCTACCCCCACCCCACAACAGTCCCCAGAGTGTGATGTTCCTCTTCCTGTGTCCATGTGATCTCATTGTTCAATTCCCACCTATGAGTGAGAATATGCGGCGTTTGGTTTTTTGTTCTTGCGATAGTTTACTGAGAATGATGATTTCCAATTTCATCCATGTCCCTACAAAGGACATGATCTCATCATTTTTTATGGCTGCGTAGTATTCCATGGTGTATATGTGCCACATTTTCTTAATCCAGTCTATCATTGTTGGACATTCAAAGCAGTGTGTAGAGGGAAATTTATAGCACTAAATGCCCACAACAGAAAGCAGGAAAGATCCAAAATTGACACCCTAACATCACAATTAAAAGAACTAGAAAAGCAAGAGCAAACACATTCAAAAGCTAGCAGAAGGCAAGAAATAACTAAAATCAGAGCAGAACTGAAGGAAATAGAGACACAAAAAACCCTTCAAAAAATTAATGAATCCAGGAGCTGGTTTTTTGAAAGGATCAACAAAATAGATAGACCGCTAGCAAGACTAATAAAGAAAAAAAGAGAGAAGAATCAAATAGACACAATAAAAAATGATAAAGGGGATATCACCACCGATCCCACAGAAATACAAACTACCATCAGAGAATACTATAAACACCTCTATGCAAATAAACTAGAAAATCTAGAAGAAATGGATAAATTCCTCGACACACACACTCTCCCAAGACTAAACCAGGAAGAAGTTGAATCTCTCAATAGACCAATAACAGGATCTGAAATTGTGGCAATAATCAATAGCTTACATTTATTTATTTTTAAATTTTAAATTCATTTCTCACTTTTAAAATAAACCTAACTAGACCATGAAGTATTATGCTTTCTATAATTGCTGGTTTCCATTTGCTAACATTTTCTTTATGATTTTTCCACCTAAGTTCATGAATGTGATTATTCTCTAATTTTCTTTTCTAATAAGAAAATCTGATTAATTTGATGTTTTCTTCCAATAAAGAAGAATCACTTTTATTCTGGCTTTTTAAAGCAAATTATTAAATGTTTTGTCTTTTCTACTGTTTGGAAGATTTAGTATAAGATTATTCTTATTTCTTTCTTAAATATTTAAAAGAATTAACTAGTAAAATTTCTTGTCCTAGACGTTTCTGTCTGAGGATTTTAAACATAAGCCTGCTTCATTAAATGCATACATGACTATCTCATTTTCTTTTCCTCTTAAGATCATTTTGTAAGTTTTATTTCAAGAAATTTGTTCAATTTTTCTAAAATTTAAAAATTGGATAAAATAGTTTGTAATCTTACTACTTTTTACTCTATGTAGTCTATCTACTGAAGTCCCCTTTTAAATATAGAATATCAGAATTTGGGTCTTTTCTTTTTTATTCTGTAACGTTCCTGCTAGATGTTATAAACGTTATAACTCATCCAATGTAAAAAACATGTTGGCTCTGTTCATAATTATTGTTTGTATTTAATTAATTTCTTTTCTTTTATTTATTATTATCTTTCTTATAATACCTTTGGCTTTACTCTTTTTAAAATATCTTGAGACAAATACACAAATATTTGATTTTTAGCTTTGATTTTTCCTAACATAGGAATTTAATGTTATAAATATCCCTCTAATCAAAGCTTTATATCTTTTCTATGTGTTTAATATATATTATTATTCTGTTAAAAATATTTTAGAATTTATTGATGATTTCTTCCTTGAAATATTGGCTATTTAGAAGTATATTCCTCAGTTTTTAAATATGAGTCATTTTCAATTTGATTTTGTCATTGACTTCTAGTTTAATTACACAATAATGAAAAAGTAATCTAGGCATGATTTCAATTTTTGGAAATTTGCTGAAATATAGTCTTAATATTTTCAATTTATTTGGTAATTGTCCATAACCACTTAAAGCAAATATATAATTCAAGATTGAACTAAGCCATGTCAAGATGTAAAAAGACAATCTTTCCTATCCTTAACAACAAGACAACAACAACAAAAAGCCCGACAAATTGAATGTTTTCACTTAAAAAAAAAATTGTCAGGAAGTTGTGGTTGCAGAGCCACCATGAGGCACAAGATTTAAGAAGAGGCTGGTGCCTACAGGATTAGAAAAGAACAAATGGTGGCTTACCTTGGGGAGTTGAACTGGACACTTTACTGGAAGAGGACAGCCAGTGAATAGATGAAGTAATGAAAGCCAAGTGTGCACTATTGTAAGAGTATAAAGCTTCTGGGGGCCACAGAAATGGTGAAGTCTGCTCCTTTTTGCAGGGTTGTCCTTCATGAACTCAACAATGTGCTCAGAGAAAAGACTACAGATAATTTTCAGAAAGCACCCCTTGTGATGCTGATCTGAGAAAGAACAGCAGCCTCCATGGCAAAGGACATGAAACTCCACTTGGGCCCTTATTCCCTATCTCTGCTTCAGAACAAAAGATAATCTCTAGGAGGAAGATGGAGAACAAACACTGTTGCTCTTAGTACACTGGATGTCCAAAATAATGGTGACAGCATTCAGTGTCTGGTGGGGGCCTTTTGCTATATTCTCACATAGCGTAAGGGGTGAAAAAGGCAAAAGAAAACAAACACTCTGAAGACAGGCAACTTCCTCCCTTAAGCCTTTTTATAAGTACCCTAATCCCATCCATGAGGGCTCTGCCCTCATGGCTGAATCACCTCCTACAGGCCTCGCCTCTTAATACTATTGCATTGGTGATTGACTTTCAATGTGTCAATTTTTTCGAAAACATTCAGATCATAGCAATTGTGTAAGCCAATTTCTTATAGTACAATATACACAAATTCTATTGGTTCTTACCGGTTTTGTTTCTCTGGAGATCCTTAGCTAAAACAATAACTTTAAATTAAAAAACAAACAAACAAACAAAACATGTTGAGGGAAGCATCTGTGGCACTTAACCAGCTGCCTAAAGGGTACTTGGAAAGAAAAAAAAAATAGCGAATCACTTCTGCCATTACCCTACAAGCCAGCATTATTATATGCAATTTTGGAATTAACTCACTACATGTAAATGTAGTCTGATTTTCAAGTGTTTTTATAGCCATGTATTTAAATAGTTACATAATTTATTTAAGTAAACGTTTTTGAATGTGTTATTTCCTGAGATTAAATGTTTTTCCTGATAATTTTGTTCCCCTTCCCATATAGAGTGTTTTTTTCCAACAGGTCACAGCAAAGGACTTGTTGCCAATTAAAAAGCAGTATGTATTTTATAATATAGTCACATAAGAACTTCTTCTGCCAGTAGCTGTTGATTGTAGCCTGAAGGGCTCACCCCTTCTTTTCAAGGGTGTTACAATCATTGCTTTTTGCTGTTAATGAGACTAAGTTCCACTCTGTGACTCATGCGCAACTCTCACTGAGATAGAAGACTGAAAGCTGCTTCCTTCATGATGCTGTTCCTGGGTTCCCCGAGGCGCTATCTAATCACTGGCCAATTATGCCTCACAGAGAAACTTTTTTTTTTGAAGATTTTTACTTCAATAGGGGAATTTAATTTATTATAATTACTGTTAAATTAAACCTGAGATATGAAACAGGCCATTTGTAGTAATAACACATAATTTTAAGCAAAAGCAGGAGAGATGCTAGTGTGCAATTGTATCAGTCAGAATGCCAAGGCTATGCTAAAGTGACACGCCACCTCTAAATCTTGAGGACTAAATAAAATAATTCCTTGCTCACACTGCATGTCCGTCATTGGTCGGCTGGAGGCCCTCGTCTTTGTTTTCCTTATTCTAGGAAGAAGACAGATGAAACAATCAGTATGTGAGATGTTGCAGATTGCCAAGGTAGAGAATAAAATAGACCGTGGACTTGTGTTTTGCCTCTTGAATCTTCCATCTAAAAGCGCTATATGATACTTTCTGCTCACATTTCGTTGGCCAAATAAAAAAAGAAAAATCACATGACCACTCAACTTGAATCAAGGCAATGAGAATATTTGTTACAAATATTTTCTGATGACAACTAGAGTTACAATGTACCTGTTAGTATACTTTTCAGGATTTTTTTTTCTGAGGATTAGTGACTTTGACTAGTAATTTATATTCTTCATTTTGTGAAAGGATTCCTAGGAGCTTCTCCAAAGTGTATGAATGTATGCTGTAATACATCTTGTTAAAGCAGAGTATACAATTTGTACTGATTACTAGTAATATTCATTTTAGGGACAAAAATCTTAATTATAGTCATTTTTTGAGCTATAGTTTTGACATGGATTTTTAAAATGTTTGAAAGGAGCCTTTAATTTAATATTTTAACAGTAGGAAAGTATTGTTAATTTTTGAACACAAAACCTATAAAATGAACCCTTACTAGTTTACTGAACCAGTGAGTTTTATTTTTTCTTTTGAGACAGGGTTTTACTTTGTTGCCCAGGCTGGAGAGCAGTGGCACAATCCAGGCTCACTGCAACCTGTGCCTCCTGGGCTCAAACAATCCTCCCACCTCAGCTTCCCAAGTGGCTGGGGCTACAGGTGTGCACTAGCACAACCCAATATTTTTTTTTTTTTTTTGTAGAGGCAGAGCTTTGCCAAGTTGCCTTAGTTGGTCTATGAACTCACAGGCTCAAAAATTCTCCCACTTCTGCCTCCCAAAGTGTTGGCATTTCAAGCATGAGCCACCATATCCAGCCCAATTTAGTAGATACGTGCATCAAGCTAAAAGTAATCAGCAGTTTGCTTCTGTTTCAATTTCGGTGAAATTTTAGTGAAAACTTCAGTGATGAATGACTGATAGCCCTCAATCTCTTTATCATTCTAATTTTACATGAGATTACTGTTTCCTTTATGTATGCTTCATCTTTGCATATTGTGTTGCTTACATGATATCATGACTTTCAGCATTAATTCTAAATATTTCCTTATCTTTATTAGACATAACTATAAAGGCTTAAGCAACACTCTTTCTATGACTTTCATACCTCTGCTCACGGGAACTTCTACTTTTTTTTTTTTTTTTGTTCAATGTACTCTGAGACATCCTTGCTGCTGCCTTCTCTCTACTTAATTTGCTTTTCTGGACATTTCTCTTGACTACCTCAACTTTGTTCACCATGTCTTCACATTTCTTGATCTTTTTTACTGGAAGAAGGCAGTTGACATCTTGTGAACATGACCTCAAAAATATTCTACTTTGTTTGCTTAAAGATCCCAGACTCTGGGACAATTGCTAGGCTGCCATATGAAAAACTTGCCTGAATATAAACATTTTAGGTCACTTTTATAAAATGCTTCATTGATTGTAACTGTGATGGGTAAGTTCCCTTTGTTCCAAAGCCAATGGTTTTGGTGTATTAAAATACGTTATTTAATTTAGTTCATCAATTTGCAAACATTACTGAGCACTAGAATGTTCTGATGTTTAAACCATTTTTCTGACGTTTAAACCATTTTTCTGGGGAGCTAGTCATGGAGAATCTCTTTGAATATATTAAGTAGGGTCCTAGAATCTATCTTTTTTATAAAGTTACTCAAAGTATTTTTACCTCAATATATTTCATCTATTAATAGATACATCATCCTGAAGATATAACCTAATTGCTGTTCCTCCTGTTGTAAATGGAGAAACTAAAGCACAGACAGCAAAACATAAAAATCAAGGTATTTAGAGAACAACAGAGGTGGATCCTACTTATGAGAGTTGTGTGGTCACAGATGAGTGATTTAACCTTGCTAACCTCCAGTTTCCTCATCTGTAAAAGTAAGAAACTCTTACAGGACAGTTGAAATATAAAGTTAGTTAGTACATGTAAACTATTTAGCACATTTTTGGCACGTATTATTTGACATTGTAGGTTTTGTCCATCTTTCTGGGTCTCTTGGTCAAATCTTACCTCTCCAAAAGTCAATAAATTTTAGGAGAAAACTGCCATAAATATGATTGTTTTGTTTCATTTAATATCGTATGGTTCTTGTCTTAGGGTTCCAACAGTGACTCTGTCCTTTAGCAGATTGTGTTTGTGACACATTTAGGTTTCCTTTATTGGGCTGGCAAACTCCTGTCCTAGCTGCTGTGTTTTAGCTGCCAACAGTTTACACCTTCACCCTTTCTGGTAGAATAGCTCTTGGCTAACCTCAAACCACCTTTCTTAGAAGTGTTTAAAAGCTTACAACTTTTCCTCCCTCCCTGCTTGACATAAGCCCAGTGACTGACATGCTGGTGTAAAACCTCCTTTCTTCACTCTGGGCAGGACACAGCTTTTGCTCCAGAGCTTTTCCTGGCATCAGTCTAAGGTTAAAACTTCTCCTGAAACCACATATTTGCTATATTCCTTCCCTTGTCCTATCCTTTTTTCCCTTACCCTCTTGCAGGTTCCTCCTGAGGACATTTGCTAAATAAATCACGTATTAAGCTCTGACTCTAGGAAACCTGACCCTAACCAATCCTCACTGTGTTTTGTTGGCAAAGTAAGTTTAGAAACAAGGAGAATACCACTAGATCCTGTAACATGGCCCCTAGGTAAGAATCACCTAACATTGTCTAACACATGGCAAAGGTTCAAACATATTTATTTAATGAATACAAAAGAGTCATCCCTTAAAGAAAAAATCAAATTCAAACATTTTCCCAATCCTTTAGCTAAAGTTACTTGACTAAAATTTATCCCTTTGAAAATAAACTACCTTCCAAAAGACACTACAGATTTATTAAAGTGACACTGAGATAGTAAAACATCTTCAAGTTCAACATTTTTTCAAGTAGACTTACCTACTAGTGAAGAAGATTTGACTGAAATGGATGTGGTTTGCTTAATAACAGCCTTTCTTGACTTCCAAATTCCAACCTGTACAAGGGATATTGGAGTACGACTCATTGTGTCTATATCCTATCTCATTTCCCCTTTATTTACTTATCATGCCTAAATGCATTGAGAAAAGAGTCTTAGCATCCGAGCAAGCCCAACATCCTGTGTTCTCATCCCTTGCAACATCTACCATATGCTTCAGTCTTGGTTCTTTGTGTTAGTCCTTCAGTTTAAATAACAATAAAATAGCTAATGTTTAGTAAATATTTAGTAAACCAGTGCCTCACATGTTTTATCTAATGTGATAGTTCCAATAACTGTGTGAGGTAAGACAAGCTATTATTTTTGGAGTACGACAAGTGCTGTGGAAGAGAAATCCAGTAAACAATGACAGTTAGGAAATCTATTTTTGTTTTTGCTGTGTGATGACTAATATATTAATGATAAAATCTATACACCAACATGAAAGCTGTTATCTGCATTAGCCACTGGTAGCTTTTTTTGTTCTTACTGGCAAAAATTGACAAGGCAGAGGACACATTTGGTGCTAGCATGTGACATTAACTTGGAGAATGTAATGACTTTATATCATCCATACCTTTTTACAATGGTGATAAAAAAAATGGGCTGCCATTTAAAATATGTAGGTCATTCTATACAGTGGTTGTTTGATATTTGACCTACATTTAAAATATGTAGGTCATTCTATACAGTGGTTGTCTGCTATAGAATGTAGGTCATCCTATACAGGTCATGCTATACAGTGGTTGTTTGCTATTCAGTAATACGATTTATTTCTCAGAAGTTCCATGGAGAACCATTTAACTTCTGGGCTGTCATTAATTAAAATGGAAATACATTAAAACTCATTTTCTAGAAGTTTTCATATTATGTATTAAAATTGGGTTATGATTTCTGGAATAAAAGGTCTTCTAATGTTGTTCTTTGAACATCACCCTCATATAACGTCCATAATCATGTATTTTGGGCAGGAGTATTTATGCTTGACCTCAGGGAGTTTAAGAAAGAAGCAATATTTGCAATATTTACAAGCAATGTTTACAAAACTATTTTATAAATAGTTTATAATGTTTATATAAATTATTTTTAATTACATGTTTATGTAGATGGAAAAGACATATGTGATATTTTCTTCCAGTAGAAGGCACCTAAATAACTTCCATGCTAATGCAATTACTTTGAATTACAGTGGAAAAATGAGACACTGCCTAAACAAAGGTCAGGGGAATGGAGGAATTTAGTCTTGTGATGTTTAAGTCATTGACTATTTTCTTAAACACTGATAGACTGCATTACTGACTTTTGTTTTATCAAACAGTTGTTAAGAATCTGGAACACATTCAAATAAACACTATTATATAAATGATTAGTTTCTTGGCTTCTAACAAACGCCTCCTTATCATTAAGTACAGCTGAAGTAGTATTTAGACTACCAATGAAAAATTATTAAATTACTGCTGTAGTATAAAAGAGAAAAACCATGACAAAATGAAAATTTTAATTTTCATGAGTATTAGAGGTTAAGGAGAAATAAGTTTAATCAGGGTGATGGAAAATACTTTCAAAGATGTTCTGAACAAATTTGTGGGAATTTTTAAAAGTCCTTGAAGGTGGAAAGCACTGTCTCTCTCTTACATCACTTCAAAATGCACAGCTTCCCTTCACCTGAGTGGAGTTGTATCACTAAGTCCGCCCTAAGCAGTCATGATTAGAGTCACAAAATAAAGAGGAAGAGAAACCAGTTGAGCAGATTAAGAAAGCTAGAATGGGAGAGGAGAACAAAGGAATGAAAAGGATGTGTGTCCCTGTGTAAACGATTGTTGGAATCAGATGGATTAGTCATGAAAGACCAATGAAATAAAGAATGTGTGAAAGACTGAATAAGTTCCGCCAGAACTGAGCATCAGGATACACCAGTTCCTAGTATCTGGACTCTCCTTGGAGTGGGCACAGGAGGTGGAGGTGGAGGATGTAGAGGGATACTAGCTGTATGTGTGTGTGTGTGTGATTTTCCTAAATCTGCTGTTCATTATTAAGGGAGGGCCTATTAGGAGTTTAATGGTTTAGATTCTACTTTTAGCATATAAAGCGTTGATTTCTGACTTTGTGAGGAAAAGTGTTTGGCTATTAAAAATAGTTTTACAGTCAATGATCTGTGATCTGCCCAAGGTCAAAGTATCATTGACTGCGAGGGGAAAAAATTGGAACTTTGGTTTCTGACTCCAAGTCCAAAGTAAAGTTTACCCAGGCCTCTTGCATTTTCTTTTATCAGGTAGATTTTCTTTTAAAATAAATTGGAAAACAAACTGACATTATGAAAAATTACTAAGTTTAGTGTCAGAATGTATGGTTGGCTTTTAACTTTAAGCATATCCTAGCTTTAAGGTATAGTGAAAAATAGTTTTTGCAATGATGCTTTTTTCATCTCCAATGGATATATCTAGTTTTTAAGAATACCAATTTTGCAAATTTATTTTGAGAAACAAATGAGTAATTCATATCAAACGCTTAGCACTGTGCTTGGCATATAGTAGGTATACAATAAATGTAGCTGTTCTAGTTATTTGCCTCACATTTCAGACCAGGTATCATATCTGAATCCCTGTAGTACAAACAGTACATAGAAAAAGTTTCTTGCCTTGTCCGTTTGTGGCACGTAATTTTGCACAGATGGAAATCCAGTGCTTCTCAAGTATTCCTCAAGACAGACAATCCCAATACTGATTTTCTAGTCCCTGAGTTTTGACCAGTACCATTGACATTATCCCACAGATATATTTTAAAAGACAACTTTGATTAAATAAATTTGAAGAGGAGTTTTTCTAACAGTCAAGTATCTAGAGAAACTGGAAAAATTTGCAACGATTAATATTCTTTAAGTGAATTAAAAGAATGTACAAGAATGAACAAGGGAATATTAAATGCAATATTAAAAATTCTGCAATTTTTGGGCAAGGTAGACATGATTCTTATTTGGGGTTCAGAGTTGAAGACTCAAGCTCAAAGTAATCAATAAAAAAGGCTGTAAGAAAGCGAATTGTGATGGTTAATACTGAGTGTCAACTTGACTGGATTGAAGGATGCAAAGTATTGATTCTGAGTATGTCTGTGAGGGTGTTGCCTTAGGAGATTGCCTTAGGAGTGGGCTGGGAAAGACAGACCCACCCTTAATCCAGGTGGGCACAATCTAATCAGCTGCCAGCATGGCCAGAATAAAAAGCACACAGAAAAATGTGTAAAGACTAGACTGGCTTAGCCTCCCAGCCTACATCTGTCTTCCATGCTGATTGTTTCCTGCCCTTGAACATCAGACTCCAAGTTCTTCAGCTTTGGGACTCAGCCTGGCTTCCTTGCTCCTCAGCTTGCAGATGGCCTGTTGTGGAACCTTGTGATCATGTGAGTTAATACTTAATAAACTCTCCTTTATAAATGATAGAGAGAGATATATATATATATTTCTGTCCCTCTAGAGAACCCTAATACAAGAATCATAGGAGAAAATATATTCCCAAAATCGTTAGGACATTGCAATGACCACCATGAAGCAGTGGACTCCAGATAGTGCATACTGCTGATGCTGCAGACAACAATGCAAGTACATGTCTTTTGGTCTTTCTGACACTGTTGCTTTGATAAATAGATACCAAAAGCAAAACAGTTTTTCCATTGCTCTTTTATGGCATACTTCTGATTCATCTTCCATGAATATATCTGTGAGCAACCTACGCCTGCTCTATAAGGGATGCTGAGAAAATAAAGAGCAATTCATATAATTCCCCTTTGAGGAGTGGGACCTAAGATTATAAAAGTAATATAAAATGCTGTACAGCTGTTACTTCATAATTTTGGTTAAAGTCTCAAAGCTAGTGAAAATTAGTAATAAAAAATCAAATTTTAGAATATGGTGATAGTTACATTCCTACCAAACTTGAGGAGAAATGACCAAATTGGTGCCATTATCTCCTCAAAATAGAGCAAAAAAGAGATTTAAAGATTTAAAAGAGAACTATAAAAGTTTACTTAATGGAAACTAACTCATGCCTCTAGAATTAGGTAATAAATGGTCTTCTCTAGACTCAAATCTTTTTTTTTTTTTTTTTTTTTTAGACGGAGTCTTACACTGTCGCCCAGGCTGGAGGGCAGTGGCACGATCTCCGCTCACTGCAAGCTCCGCCTCCCGGGTTCACGCCATTCTCCTGCCTCAGCCTCCTGAGTAGCTGGGAATACAGGCGCCCGCCACCACGCCCAGCTAATTTTTTGTATTTTTAGTAGAGACGGAGAAAGTTATATTTTCCCACCCTTCATGTCCCGAGTTGGTAACATTTCCTCTAAATTCTGATTGAAAACTAAATGAATAGTTAGTTCTTTTATATTCTTACCTCCTTTCCTCATTATATACAACTAAAAGAAGAAAGTTGCCATCTTCAATATTCTACCTAGATATATCCTTAACTAAACCCATTAGTTTCTTAGTTTTGATTAGTGATTGTCTTAGCCTTCAAATCACCAGTCTGAACCTTTATTTTCCCAGCTCATCCTACAATGTTGTGAATCTTATTTCTCTAATAGATTTCTATTCTGTAATGCCCATAGTAGTTCTTTTTATCTCATTCTACCCTGAACTGATGGGAAGCATCTGAAAGCAGGCTGCAGTCATAATAAAAACATAAATTAAGTGACACTGGCTTTGAAGTCAGCTGATGGGCAGAGGCTGGAAGGACCCTAAAGAGACATCACAACAAACAACAAACAAAACACAACGAGACAGGTAGCCAATAAAAAGAATAATTTCAAATCTAAAAAGAAATGATTGATATTACATTAAATAAAAGTAAAATGAATATTCTAATCTGAACGCTCTGGAAGTTTGGTGAATAGAGAATAAAAAGAATAATCAACTATGATATGTGTATAAGAAGCATACCTTAAATAAAAAATACATAAATAGGTTGAAAGTAAAGGAATGAAAAGATACTTAAATCACTAACCATAAAAAATTTGTAATGATTATTTTAGTGGCAAACAAAATAGACTTTATTTGAGTTCTATAAGAGATAACGAGAGTTCATAAAAATGAAAGTTACAAGTGTATTGCTTAATTTTCTAATACATTTGTCTTTTCTAGACATCTTAGAGTTATTAATCAGTCAATTACTTTGCAGTCAGATAACCTACTTGGTAAATTTTAGTGTTTTCAAATATATTGAGACTTCTTTTATGACCTAGCAAAAGGTATATAATAGTAAACTCAATACCCTTAGAAAAGAATGTATATTTTACATGTTAGGTAATGTAATAATAAAATCTACTTGTCAATTTGGTCAATTGTTTACACTTTTATTAAGATTTCTACATTGTTGCTGATTTTTGTCTAGTATTTTCATCAATTATTGAAAAAGGATGTTAAAAATCTCGTCTCCAGATTGTAATTTGTCTGTTTAAAATTTCTTCTTTTGTTATGTTAGCTTTTAGTTCATGTATTATCATAACATATTACTAGTTGCATATGAATTTATAATTTTTGAGTTTGTGTTTCATTGACACTTTCATTTTTATGAAAGATTCTTCTATATCATCTGAGTAAAAAAGGAATGTATAAGCTTTCTGTGTTAAAATTAGGCAATTTAGGTGAAAATGAGTTTTCTAATACAATTTCTCAGAAAACTACAAATTTACAGAAACATTCTTACTCTGATAAAGAACTTCTAAACAAAATCCAGAGATAAAGTATACATAAAAGTAAAACACTGAATACTTTCCGCATAAGATTAGATATAAGGCAAGGTTGTCATTCTTACCATTTATATCCACTTTATACAGGAGATCTTTACCAGTACAATAAGGCAAGTAAAAGAAATAAGAAGCAAAGATTCAAAAAGAATAATAAAAGCTATATATATTCAGAGATGACATAATTTTTACAAAGACTATCCTAAGAATTTTTTAAAAAACAAAACAAACTATAACTAGTAACCAAGATTAACATGGTGTGAGGTACAAGGTTCACATACAAGAATCTATTTTATTTTACATATCAGCAACACACAATTTGATTATTAAATTAAAAGTAGCAATTATACTTAAATAATATCAAAAGATAAAGCAATTAAGGAAAAAATCTCTACACTGAAATGGAGGAATATATTATGTTCTTTGATATATTATGATATGCATTATACTGTTTTCAATACTTTTAGTTCTATTTACAGATTTAATGTGATTCTAATAATTAAAACAGACATTTGTAAACAAAATAAATAAGAAGCTGACTGTAAATTTCACAAGAATTTGCAATAGACATGGAATTAGAAAAATAATTTCAAAAACAAACAAAATTGGAAAATTTGTGCATTTGAACACCAGGCTTACCATAATACTATGACAATCAAATAGTTTGGTATTTGCATTATGTGGACAGATAAATCAATACACAAAATAGTAAATTCAGATTCAGACTCATAATTTTATGGTTAATTGATTTACAACAAAAATGCCAAAGCAATTGAATGGGAAAAGGATGATGTTTTAAGCAAATGGTGCTGGAACAATATATTCACAAAGATATGGAAAAAAATTGGCATTAAAGAATGAGAGCTTTGTTTCCAGTAATCCCATGGAAAAAAATTAAACTTTGACCTTCTCTCACCTGATATTACACATTTTAAATTTTAGAAGGCAGCATAACTTTATAACATGGGATTGGCAGAGATTTCTTAGAAGGGCTCAAAAAATAATAAGAGCAAAAGAAAAACAACAGTAAAACAGATTTGATAATAATTTAAAACTTTTCTTTATCAAATGAGATCATAAAATGCATAAAAAAGTGAAAGGATTAATGAAAATATTTATAAGTAATATATTTGACAAAAGACTCAAATCTGAAATGAGTCTTTTTCAGAAATTTTTTGCTTTAACCAACCTACACTTACAAAAGTACTCATAATTGGCATAGTCATCTGTATTAAAAATAACTATTTTGTATTGGCAAGGAGGAAACATTTTTCCACTATTATTCTTACAGTTTTATTGTGAGGAAATAAAAATCTGTTTCTTTACTTGTCTTAGTTTTGTTTATTCTACATAATTTAATAGACTATATAGTAAGCTGTATGAAGACTGCACATATAAATGGTGCTTCTCCCAAAATGATATATTTTCTTTCTGTTTATAATTATAAAGTATACTTTGTGATAGATAATGATATGTATCATGTAATACTGTACTGAAAATGAAAAACAGGATGATTTTATGGTTACTCACCATGAATGTACACAGCCGAAAGCACACTGTGCCTGAAGAATATTTGAGGCATTGAAGTAAAATTAATTGCTGGATGATAGGGATGCTTCAGTGACAGAGTCATCAACTTACCTCTTTTCTAATGAGGCTCCTGAGTAGCTAATAGAAGGCACTAGGACATTCATACTTGTTGATGGGTTAGCAGGCATAGTGTTCTTCAGAACGACATTAAGTTTTGACTGTATCTTTTGCTTCTTCTTTGCTTTATATATGTCTCTAGAGCAAGCAAGAGCATCCTGTATCTGCCTGTCAGCTCTTGAGAATCTCTCCTAATTGATGTTTATTTCTTCTAACTTCGGTATGCTACCACTGACAGTAGCAAACACCTTCACCAATTTCTTCTCTGTGAACTTTCTTAGTGCCTCGGGTATAATTTATTCTTCCTCTACCTCAACTTCTTTACTTCTTTCTTCAGTTTGAACAGTGCTTCACTGGAAAATCCTTCAGCCTCAATGCCAACAAGCTCATGAATATCCTCTTCGTCAATGCCCAGTTCTGTTTCCCAGCCACTAATATCTTGTTATTTACTATTTTATCAATAGCAGAATCTTTGTTAAAGCCTTTGAATGTGTTCACATGTCTTCAAATCTTTCTTCCTAATGTTGATTATGTGTTGTTGTGTTACTTCTTCCCATACTACAGCCATGTTTCAGACAAACATTTAGAATGTTAAAACCTCTCCAAAACTATCAGTGTTTGGCCACATTCAGTTGCTTCAATTGCCTGCACAAATGTTTCGTCTAAATAATATTTGAAGGCAGCTATTGTGCCTTATTGGTTGAATGTGTGAAGTTGTTTTCAGTGGCAAATTCACAACCTTTACATCAGACTGCATGCCATTAATAAGCTGTGGACACCCCAAGGCATTGTCTATGATAAGAAATTTGAATGAGAGCTATTTTGCCTACAATATTCTCTTACCTATAGAATAAAAGAGTTCAAAAATCAGTCTTTGAATAAGGTTGATGTCATCTAGGCTTTCTTCATGTAGATAGTAAGCAGGAGGCATATGTTTTCCATATTCTTGAATGCTCTAGAGTTCTCCAAGAGGTAGATTAGGATAGTAATTAATTTGAACCTTGCAATATTTCTACTGAAAAGCAGCCATTACGTAGGCTTTGAATGCCTTAAATTCTGCCACCCTGGACTCTTGATCAATGTATGACAGTTAAAATATACACTTCCAGAACAAGTTTTTTTCATCATTATTATTTGTCCTGGCAAATATTTCTCATTTACAATTATCTCATGCAGCTCTTTCTTAAAAGTTTTGGCACCTTCAGTATCAGCACTTTCTGCCTTACTGCTCACTTTCACATTGTGAAAACCATGACGCCTTTTGAAGCTGTGGAACCACTCATGTCTTGCTATAAACATTTATGTATATGTACGACCATCAGCACGCTCCTTTAGTGTTTTGAAAAGACTTCTTGTCTCAGCCTGATGCTGTCAGATATTTTGATTATTTACATGAAGAAAAAATGCATGTCAATTTATATTGGATTCTCCTAAAACTTGAATGTTGGCACAAAATTAAAAACAAAATTGCCCAAGACAAGAATATATGGCGCACATCAAATATGTCTAGATGCAGAAAATAGACTGTGGTCTAGCAGGTCTAGCAACTTGCAGTCTGTCGTCCATATCATAGCATACAAAAAGTCTGTTCCAATAATATCATTTATTTTTTTCAGTTTGTTTCTCATGTGGAGCTAATTTAAAGCGATACCACTTGGAAGGCAAAGAGATAAAATATGTGAATTGAGCTATGAAAGTTATCAATTCTTAGTTTTTTATATATACAGAAGAAATGAACACTCATTTGCTCTTCACTTTAAATATTTTCCTAAGCTGGTTCCTCTGGTAGAGACATATTTTAATTTAATCAAATTGAATGCAGAGAGTCCTTGAATGGTCTTATGGCAATTACTTTTTATTTGAGAGCAAGTTTTCCTACTACATTAAATACCTCTCAAAGATAAGCAGATAATATATTTTTTAAAGAAATTGTGTTATTTTTACTAATGGTAGAATAGTAAAAGCCACTTCCTCATATGGTCTGTCAGTAAACAGTAGTTAATAGTGAATGTTGATTGTTCTGTACTGTTAGATGCTTAAGAAAGGATCACAGCTCAGGAATCAAGGAGGAGCTATTCTGTATTACCTCTCTCTCATACATTCAGGAGGAACATGGCAGAGGCTGTTTTAGCTAGGGCATTTGGGCTGTGAAGATAGAGGCTCTGAGGTTCACAGTAAGAAGGAAGGGGGAACTCATTTTAGATTACGGGAGCTACTGAAGGTAAAAACATCATCTGTACAAAGTTTAAAATGATACGGGTGTCATGCTGCAAAAGGTGAAAAAAGGCATCACAAAATTCACTAAATCTGATAAATAGGTGGTAAGTGGTGGTCAAGTTAGGTGAAGAGGCAGTTATTAAGGCTACAGAAAACTAAACAGGCCAGTATCAAATGTAAGGTGGTGTGAGAGTCAGCTATAGTCCTTAGTTAACCCAGACTCCAAGGCTGCCAAGAGTGGATATCATCTAACGAAGTTGGAGAGGAGTGGAAAGGCAACCTAAATATAAATTCATGCAAAAGACTGTCTTTTTTTTTTCTTTTGTGTGCTCTTGACACCCTTGCTGTAGATCAGCTGACCATGTATATGTAGATATATTTCTGAACCTTCTATTCTGTTTCATTGATCTATATGTATGTATTTATGCCAGTAACAAACTCTTTTAATTACTGTAGCTGTGTAATGTATTCTGAAACAACAAGTATGATACCTTCAACTCTGTTCATTCTCAAGATTGCTCTGGCTGTTCAGCAGTATTTTGCAGCTTCATATAAATTTTAGGATTGTGTTTCCTATTTCTGTAAAAAATGCCAATAGGATTTGAATAGAAATTGCATTAATCTGTATATCCCTTTGGATAGTGCAGGCATTTTAACAATATTAATTCTTCTAATCCATGAACATGGGACATCTTTCCATTTATTAGTGATTGCTTAATTTCTTAAGTGTTTTACAGTTTTCACTGTACAAGCAAAATAATGAATTTGAAACCCTCTATTACACCATATATACACAAACTTAAATAGATTAAATATATAAACATATGACCTGAAACATATCACTTCTGGAAGAAAATATAGTGGAAAACTACTTGAAATTATTCTTGGGAATGACTTATTAAATTTGACACCAAAAACAGAAGCAACAGAACCAAAAATAGTCAACTGTGACTACATAAACCTAAAAAGCTTCTGCACAACAAAGCAAATCATCAATAAAGTGAAAATGTGATCTACAGAGTGGAAAATAATATTTGCAAACTGTCTGAGAAGGAATTAATATATAAAATATATAAGACTGTCCTATATCTGAATAGCAAAAACAAAAACAGAAACCAGACCATAAAACAAATAAGTAAAATGTACCAGGCACTGAGAGACCAATACGATATAATCTCACTTATGTGTGAAATCTAAACGTGTTAAACTCATAGAAGTAGAGCTAGAATGGTGGTTTCCAGAGTTTGGAGGTGATAGGATGGTGGAGAGATGTGTGGGAAAAGGGCATATGTTGGTCAGTTAGAAGGAATAAGTTTCAGTTAGATAGAAGGAATAAGTTCTGGTGTTCCATTGCACAGTATGGAGACTATAGTTAATAATAATATTTTATTTCTATATAACTAAAATGGGATTTAAAATGTCCTTATCACAAAAAGTGATATATATATATATATATTTGAGGTGATGGATATACTAAACATCCCAATTCAATCATTTCACATTGTATACATGTATTGAAACATCACATTGTGTCACAGAAGAATATACCATTATTATTTGTCAACTAAAAATGAAATTTAAAATATGGGCAATGGAAATGAGTAGATATTTCTCCAAAGAAAACATACAAATAGCCTTTTAGTATATTGAAAGGTGCTCTATACAAGGAAAATGCATATCAAAACCACAATGAGATATCACCTCACACCTACTAGAATAGCTATTATATATAAACACATGCACAATTTATATACATGTTTCATATGATATACGACAACACATATCGTATATATGATAAATGTTGTCAAGGGCATGGAGAAATTGAAACCCTTATGTAGTACACTATTGGTGGGAATGTAGAAAGGTGCAGTCATTAAGGAAAACCGTATAGAGCTTCCTTTAAAAGGTAAAAATAGAACTATGAATGATTCAGCAATCCCATTTTTGGATTATATAAAAAAATGAAATCAGGATCTCAAAGATATATCTGCACCCCCACATTCATGGCAACATTATTCATAATAGGCAAAATATGAAAGCAACCTTAAATGTACATCAAGAGATGAATGAACAAATACATTGTGGTATATACATACAATGGAGTATTTCTCAGCCTTAGAAAAAGAAAATCCTGAAGTATGTGACAACATGGATGGACCTAGAAGACATTATACTGAGCGAAATAAGACTGTCACAGAAGAACAAATAACTGCATGATTTCACTTGTATGAGGGATCTAAAATAAAAAAGAAAAATAAACTCATAGAAGCAGAGAGTAGAATGGTGGTTGCCAGGAACTGGGAGTATATAGATGTGTATATATATATACACACACACACACGCATATATATGTGTGTGTAATATTGTAATATTATACGTGTATATAGCTGTATAGCTATATGTAATATAAATATATTTATATATAAATATTTACCATATAAATATATATATATATATTAATACCAGATGAATAAGTTCTAGAGATCTGTACAACATAGTACCTATAGTTAACAATATGGTATTGTGCACTTTAAAATGTATTAAGGAGACAGATCTCATGTTAAGTGCTCTCACTAAAACAAACAGACACACACTCTCATACACACCTACACAAAACACAAGGACATTTTTGGAAGTAATTATTATGTTTAGTACCTTAGTTGTGATGATGGTATTATGGATGTATGCATATGTAAAAACTCATCAAGACATATATGAGAAGTGTACACAATTTTTGTTTATCAATTATGCCTCAGTAAAACTAATAAATGTATACATATAAAAATCCTTAAATATGAGAATTATGAAGGAATTGGGACAAACATGTGAGAATGGCTGGTTCATCACTTTCAGTAGAAGTCATCTGAAGAATATCATGGACTGAAATAAGCCATGTCTAATATCAAGTGACTTGTAATTGAGTATGATATGGAGTTGACTAGTTAGCACTCTGCAGTGAGGGAGCAGAACCTCTGACAATGCTATATTCCCCCAAAATATGTGTAAGTAGGAAGTTGACACAATATAACCAAGCAGGAAGCAGCTATTGATTATGTGAGGCTGAGGAGAGTGACACTGTGAGTAGCTTAGATAGCTAAGGTAAACAAAAGGAGGAAATTTTTTTTCCATCTAGGTTTAATCCAATTATGAAAGAGAAAGCCTTTTCCTATCTTTTCCATGTGATAAAGAGTAACTGCCACTCACTTGATTTAAAGAAGATTTGACATCATTTTTAGCTTGAATCTTTGTCTCAATTTCCTAGTAGTAATATTATTGGTAAAGACCTTAATCATGTTGAAAGTGGATTCCAGGCTAAGACTGTATACTGCCATTTAGAATTTAAATGTATTTGGATGGATATAGTAAGCCTGTATGAAATTTATCTAGAAAGCACTAGATTCTTCTGAAAATCTGTGAATGTATTTTGTTTTTATCAAAAAATTTAGTTCCACAGTTGATATGAATACACACAGATTGTGAATAAATGGATTTTCTTTTTTCTCAGCACCATACTATGGCCCAGAGATAGCAGCCCTCTCTTTTTGAACATCTTCACTCAGAAGTAGCATTAGTGTTGAAAGACAGCAATTTTAAAAATTGTTTAAAATGCTATTATAAACAAATTTTTTTAAAAAACCTGATTTAAAAATCTATTAACAAACTATGTTTTAAAGCACTCTCACTGTTCAAATTAGAAAGGCATAAATGTTGCAAAAGGTTACTCAATACTCCCTAGAGCTGCTGAAACAAAGATGATTTGAGGTCAAACTAGACTTTTAAATACAAATGTTACATTGAAAGGAAGCATAAAATTTCAGTTTAGTTTGGATATATAATACCGTAAGTAAATGAAAATATACACGGATGTAAGCAAGCTTTCATAGGCATATTTATATTTGTATAGAATTTTAATATAAACAAGAAGAATATTCTGGATAATTTTTAAATTATACCTTTTCTAAAATAATTTGTGTATGAACAAATAGTCTATTTCCAGGTATTGTACAGTTGTTTGTATATTCTATTTTTCTTTCCCCACACATACGATGTAATTAAACTTTATTTATCTACTTATTTATTTATCAGGCACCTAAGACAGGAGGCCAGTTTTTGGAGTATTATGGGAGAAATGGCATAAATAGTAAAACATCTATTTCTCATATAATTATTATTTTATATTTGCCTCTAAGATAAGCAATTTCTCAGGAAGACAAAATTTTTTCTCAATATTTTAGACACTCACAATGGATGTATATAAAGAACATTTCTTTGTTGGGTGCGGTGGCTCACACCTGTAATCCCAGGACTTTGGGAGGCTGAGGTGGGCTGATCACCTGAGGTCAGGAGTTCTTGACCAGCCTGGTCAACATGGTGAAATCCCGTCTCTACTAAAAATACAAATATTAGCAGGGTATGGTAGCACACGCCTGTATTCCCAGCTACTCGGGAGGCTGAGGCAGGAGAATCTCATGAACTCAGGAGGCGGAGGTTGCAGCGAGTTGAGATTGTGCCACTGCACCCCAGCTTGGGTGACACAGCGAGATTCCATCTCTAAAATTAAATTAAATTAAATTAAAATTAAAATTAAAATAAAGGACATTTCTTGATTGCTCTTGGGAGCTTGTTGTTTGACTTGCTGTCATTTAAATAATTGTCAAGTTTGAGCTGGGTCCCAGAGCAGCCTCTGCAAAGCAAGATGGTACACCTAAGATGCTCTTAGACCTGATACCTAATTCCGGCAAAGATACATATCTTTTCCTTATTGGCTCTTCCATCAGGTTGCTAGATTAAACATGTTTATTTTCTAATGGCTTGTTTTTTCCTAAGACTGTCCAAGTGGTTCAACTACTTTGTTTGACCTAGAAAAAAATGAGCTTATTAAATAAATGTCTCTATTCGGGTCTTACATTAATTGGAAAAGTTATCTTTAACCCACTGTATGTTTTTCAACTTATGGGAGTTCAGTCTCCAAATCCTAAACAGAACAACATGACTTTTGCTTTTCTGTTTTCCAAGTGCTAAAAAATCCAATATTCTCTAAAAGAAAATCATCATACAGAGATGAGTACTTGTTTTACTTTTTATTTTTTTATCCCAAACTCCAAAAGTTAGACATTTAAGATGGATTCTCTAAGTAAGGAAATGACACAAAACATTAAGCACACCTGATTTAGATAGTCGTTGGATCTCTGAAGTTATAAACATCTCACTTCTGAGTTGGAATCACAAAATGCCACTGTAAAGAGCTTTAAAGTCTAAGATCCAGAGAGATAAAGTACTTAAGCTATATCAGCCAGTTAAATTTAGTATTAGTAACTGGATGTCAGATTCCTGGTGTCCTGGATGTTATTTTAGCTCTCTCTCTTATGCTATAATTTCATGAGGTAGCTAAGAACAAGAGTTTGCAAATTCAGATGAACATGGTTCAAATTATTTTCTATAACACATTAACTACTTATGCATTATGTAAACTTTCTGAACTTCAATCTCTGTCTGTAAAATACGGATAATATTTTCATCTGCCTTGATAGGATTAAATTTTATCATAAGTGAAATTTGTTTGACATAGTGCCTGGCATATATTATGCAATCAATAGATGTTAGTGGTTATTATTCAATGCAGTGTGTTGCATTATATTATTATAAAATGTTATCAGAGTATGACAATATTATTATTGGCTAACACCAGCTGACTCTATGCTTGTGACTATGTTAACCTTATGGGTAATATGATTTGGATACTGCACTCATAGTCTCTTGCTTGTTACATCTTAAAGTCAGTGATGCATATTTACTTGAAAAAGTCAGAAAACCCTGACTTCATGTTTTCTCCCAAATCTCAGTGACTTCAATAATATATTTTATTTCTCATCTATGCCACAATCCATCATGCTCAGCAGGTGAGTTCTTCTCCATGAAGTAATTAAAAAATTTCAGCTCCTTCAATATAATACCTATAGCATTTTCTAAAACATTCCAGCTCCATTTAGAAATATACATCTAAAAATATATATACACATTCTGTTTAGCTTTTTTAACTTTTATTTGCCAGATACCAAAGTAAAAGAAGAACTAATGGACACATGAAAGATTTTTAAGTATCTGGATAAGAAGTAGAATATGTTACATTGGCCCCATTTCAACAGCCAGAACAGTCACATAGCCCCATAAAACTTTAAGGGAGGTTTGGAGCTTACTTTACGTATTCACACAGAGGTAAAGGAAATGGCCTTTGGAGATTACACTGATGTTTTCTCAGACATAGCACATGTGCAGAGTACAAACACTTGACCGATTCATGTGAAAGAAAATATCAATAGTGAATGACTGTGTTTGAGCCTCATAATGCTCCAGTGAGATTGATATGTATTATCAGATTAAGAAAGTGAGACACAAGTGATTTACCAAGGTCCCCCGCTGAAATAAATGAAGAATCAACATTCTACATCAGGAATTGTGACCTTGAAATTACAATGGGCCTATGCATTTCACTCTCAGTTGCTGCAAGTGCTGAATGATAAGGAATTGCACCTGCATCCTTCGGCATGTATGAGTAGTGGAGTCCTCTGTGGAAGGCTTCACAGAATATTGCCTTTGAAGGAAGGATATCACACTACTTGGAGGTATAGCCAATGATTAATATATGCAGTGATATAACGGCTTTCTGGGTGTGAAAACTCACACAAATCACTGCCAAACTCTCCATGGGATTGAGCTGAGACCTTACTTGTTGAAACTGTGTATTTACCTAGTTTCTTCTCTTGCTCGATCCTGCATCCCTTACTCCCTTACAAGTTTCTCCACAGAACGCTCTCTTTACTAAGCTCCACAGAACGCTCACATGCTGATGGATCCATATATTACAGGTTACTTCTCAGCCAGTTGGTAGCAATAGTTTCCTATTTCTGTTGTAACAAATTACATATTTATTATCTTATGTTTAGGTATGTCCGAAATTTAACATGTAATTTCACAAAAATCGGGTGTTGTCAGGGTTGCATTATATTCTCGTGGCTCTAGGGGAAAATCTGTTTTCTTGCCATTCCCAGCTTCTTCAGGTATGGAGCCCACATTCCTTGGTTTATGGCCTCCATCTTCAAAGTCAGCAATGAAGACTAAAGTCTTTTTCATATTACATCCCTGTGACCACTCTTCTTCCTCCCTCTTTCACTTTTAAGAACGCCGGTGATTACATCGGGCACACCTGGATAACCCAGGTTACTTTTCTTGTTTTAAGGTCAGTTGATTAGTGACCTTAATTACAGTTGCAATCTCATTTCCCCCTTTCTAGGGAATGCAATATATTCAAAGGTTCTGGGGATTAGAATGTGGACATCTTTGCAGGGGGTGTGCATTGTTTTGCCTGTCACACCAACTATAGACAGTTGGGGATAGGAGTAGGAAAAAGACTCTTTAAGTACAGGATACTGATCATGGATCATTTACCAGCAAGTAGATAATGAGGACTCCATCACTGGTAATAGGTAGAGCATTGATAATCTCTGACCCATAGAACAGGTAGAAGATGGTTCATTACCTTGTGCATAGTCTCTGCCATTTGAGGGATATAAGGCAGATATTAATTTAAAATGCTGTGGAACTGAGTGGCTATTGATAAGAGGCTTTTGTTGAGTACCATTGATGCATCTATGCAGAGATAAAACAACAAACCATGGATAATTTATTAATCATCAATTTCAAGCAAATAGTGAAAGGCACAGAGCAGCTTTGCAGTAGTAAAAGATACCCTCATTTTTGTGAGCAAGAGAATTGTGCTGAAGACCAGGCTCAGGACTAAATTTTAAGAGTAGCATAATTTAAAGCAAAGCATTATAATCTGGGAAAGTTATATACACTATATTCAGGCTGTTAATAAAGGAGAAATAAAACCCTAGGACTTGAAAGGAGATATTTGGGTACAGATAGATAAAAACTTTAAACTACCATTTTGCCCCAAATCCCCTGGGCCTGCATGATCCCATGGTCTATCTTAGTCCATTTTGTGCTGCTGTAACAGAATACCACAGACTACATAATTTATCATGAGTAGAAATTGATTGGCTCACAGCTCTGGAGGCAGAAAAATTCAATATCAAGGTGCTGGCAACTTGTGAAGCTCTTCTTGCTGAATCATCCCATGATGAAAGTGCAAAGACAGGGTGAGAGATCAAGAGAGGGTCAAACTCATCCTTTTATGAGGAAACTACTCTAGCAATAACAGCATTAATTCATTCATGAAGGCAGAGCTTTCATGGCCTACTCAGCTCTTAAAGGTCCCATCTCCTAATACTGTTAAAATGGCAATTAAATTTCAACATGAGTTTTGTAGGGGACAAATATTGAAACCATAGCAGTGCCCCATTTGCCCTTGTAGAGAATACCTGCCTCTAATCCCTTGCCTGAATACTGTAAAGAGGGCTCAGATGAAGCAGTGGCATTACCAGACAACATTTGCATTTCCTGGCAACGTACATGCCCACTTTGCCATCAGACTAATAACTAGGGTAGTATTAGAATAATATCCTATGGCAGATGCCAGAATTGCATCTCGAAGTAATCAAAAGGCTCAGACAAGTAAACATGTTAAAATAGACCATAGTATAATTGGAATACCCACCAGTCAAATAGTTGCCTTGGGAGTGACCACAGGAGTACGTAATACATTATCTGTGCCATATTTATTTGTACATTCAACAAATATTTACTGAATAGATGTTCTGTGCAGGTCAGAATAAATGTATAAAATAAACAATGCTCATCAGATCACGTATTTGACAATTACAGAAGTTTGAGTGTTGCATTTAAAGTTTCGTAATGGATACCAACTTGTTAATTGATTTTTTAAAAAATATTCCACAATTCAACTTGTGGTTGACATTGACAAAGAGGTATAGGAACCACCACAGTAGAAAGATTTAACAGGTTCTGCAAAGCCTAGTCCAGAGCTATCGTTTCTGAAAGCTGTTACCAAAAGCCCATGAGAGCTGTGGAGGAAAAAGGGAGGGCGGTATTTTCTACAAAAAAATCAGTCTGCACATTGGAGAGGCACTGCGTTCAGTAGAAAGTGTGCTGTGCAAAGAGTTTTGGCTGTAGTAGGGAAAGTTCTTGCCCTATTTCTCAATCAGGTCTGTTTAAGCTAAAGGAGGGATTCAGGCTTGTTCAGTTCTGATTGGTTGAGATAATTGAGTCCTGATCATATGGCTTCCCAAGTCCAAATCCAAACCCAGACTGCCAGATGTTTCTTTCAAACTGCAATATGTGTGTGTGTGTGTGTGTGTATGTGTGTGTGTATGCATGTGTGTGTGTGTGTGTTAGAGGTGGGAGTGGAGTGGATTTTTGGCAGAGGTTTCCTTGGCTCTCCCAGAAACTGTTCTTGCTCAATGGTATAAAACAAAATGTGTGTCAAGAGCTGCCTTTTCCGAGAACAAGGGGCAGGGCGCACGACCACTCTTCTCTCTCTTCTCTATGGCCTTTTGGTTCTGTTATCTAAATTTGGGCATCTCTATTAACCAAAGAGAGTCCATTTAGTGTGGTGGGCTTGGGGTCTTAATTACAGTTTTATGTCACAAGGCTTTTGTTTAAATTGACAAAATGACATGAGGATCTTGGGTTTGACCTGGTAAAGGAGTAGGAGGTTTTTTTTGTTTTTTTTTTTTGACTATGACAATGTAACTAAAACAGATCAGTCCTTGTTTCATAAACAATGAAAAACTCATCCTTTAGTGGTTAGTTTATTCATTGGTTGGTTCGCAAATAATAGCACACTAATATAAGTTGTCAGTAATAGGGGAAATTGGATGCAAGGTGTATGGAAACACATTGTATGATCTTCTCAATTTTTCTATAAATCTAGAACTTTTCTCAGAAATAAAGTTTTTGTTTATTTGCTTGTTTTAAGTGTGACATTAGCCCCAGAGTCAAATTAAAGCTTTATGATGATTAGGTGATAGATACATGGAGTCTTGTATGTTTGAAATTTTTTCTCCTTCAGGTTTCTTTTGCTATTCTTTTATTTCCACATACATTTTAGGTTAAACTTGTTAATTTATGCTAAAATGTTACTGAAATCGTGGCACTGCCTTGAATAAATAGATCAATTTTGGGTGAATGCATATCTTAATATTGAATCTCTTGATAGATACATATTTTATATTCCTCTATTAAGGGCTTCAAAAATTTCTCTCAGTAATATTTCATATTTTTCTGCACAATTCTTTCACCCTTCTTTCTTTAAATTTATTCTGAATCATTTGATTTTTATGCTATTTTAAATAATATCTATTTTTAGATATTTTAAAATTTTATGTTCTATTTGTTCCTGGAAATAACAAAACAATTTTATTTATATTCACCTCGTATCCCACAAACTTACAAATTTCCTCACTGATATTAATAGTTTTCATGTAGAATATATGTGGTTTTCTGCATTCATCCTTATGTCACTTGAATATGATGTCACTCTTACTTTTTTTAATCAATACTTACAATTTTATTTTCTTTGTCATGCTTTCAGAAACATACAGTAGGATGTTAAATAGAAGCTGAGATAGCAGGCATCTTAATATTATCTATTCTTTATTTAGGAGAGAAAGCTTTTGACATTTTTCAGTTCAATTTATTATGATAGTTATTATAATTATTTAATTTATTTATTTATTATTTATTTTTTTGAGACAGAGTCTCACTCTATTGCCCAGGCTGGAATGCAGTGGCACTGCATCTCAGCTCACTGCAACCTCTGCCTCCCAGGTTCAGGTGATTCTCATGTCTCAGCCTCCTGAGGAGCTGGGATTACAGGTGCACACCACATTGCCCGGCTAATTTTTGTATTTGTAGTAGACAAGAGGTTTTGTTATGTTGGCCAGGCTGATCTCAAACTCCTGACCTCAAGTGATCTGCCCACCTTGGTCTCTGGAAGTGCTAGGATTACAGGTGAGAGGCACCCCACCTGGCCACTATAATTACTTTATAAACATCTTTCATTAGGCAAGGAAGATCTTTTTTATTTATAGTTTAATATGAATTCTTATTTTTATTATGAATAGACACAGAATTTGTTCAATGCAATTTCTTCCTCTTGAAATAATTATGATTTTCTACTTTATTCTATTTTATTGGTTTATATTATATATATGTATATATGTGTATGTATATGTGTATATATGTGTGTGTGTATATATATATATATATACATACACCTCTTGGTGCATCAGTGTGTAAGAAATGAACACATAAAAAGGCAAAAATATGTATATTTGTTTTAGAAATTTTATTTTCTTTGGAGAGATTGATTTGTAATTTTTCTATCCTCTGATGTCCCTTTTCGGTTTTATTATTAAGGTTATGCTGGTCTTATAAAATGAATTGGGGATTCTTTCTACTTTTTCCATCCTGTGGAAGAGATATGTAGGTTTTATCTTTCTGTAAACTTTGCTAGTATTAATTGATGGAGTCACCTAGGCCTGGAATTTTCTTTGTGGGATATTTTAAAATTACAGATTGAATTTATTAATAAATATAGAAATAGTCTTCTGTTTTCCATAGAGCCAATTTTGGTAATTTGTTCTTTAAGGTCTTTGTTCATTTAATATAAATGTTCAAATATAGTGTTATAAAGTACTTGATTGTATTTTAATTCTTTTTAATATGTTTATTCCCTGACCCAATGTGCTCTCTTATATTCCCCATATTGATTCTTTTTACTTTTTTCTGTTTTTTGGGCCAGTCTTAATAAAGTGTTATTAATATATTTAAAATGACTTTGGTTTAGTTGAACGTTAAATATTTGTTCTCAATTCCTTTAAACTGTTTCTTCTACTTTCTTCGAGTCTTATTTGATATTTTTTACTAGCTTATTAAAATGTAAGCATTGATTTTCACCTTTTTAAATAATATATCTAGCAATACTATAAAACTGTCTAAACATAGCTTTAACTGTATCTCACAGTTTTTATCATTATAGGTGCTTTGTTAATATATTTTCTACTTTTAATTTAATTTCTCATATAATTTCTGGGTAATTTAGTCATATGCAGCTTAAAAGGTGCAATGTTTTTAGTTTTCATTTTTAAAATTATTTTTTAGCATAATTTCTATGTGGTCAAAAAACAGTTTTCATGATTTCTGAATTTAAAATTTGATTACTTATTTTCAGAAACCTCACATAGCTAATATGAGTGATTTATATATGCAGTGGAAAATAACATCTAACCAGGTGATACTGCAGGTGTTTTTAATATATATTGTTAGGTCAAAAAAGCTAATTGTACTATTGAAACCTTCTATAGTATTGGTAATATTTGTTTTATGCCTTTTTAAATTAATCTTTAAAAGCTTTATTACAATTTCCCAATGTGATTGAGGATCTGACTCTTTTTCTTTTAGATTTGTTAATCTTGCCTACTAAGTTTTGAGAATATATATATTTCTCTATAAATATATACAATCTATATGAATATATAAAAGTTCTCCCTGGTGGAAAGTCACATTTACCATTCTGAATATCTTAATTTATCTCCACTAACTACTTGCTGTAAAGGGCTTTGAAAGAGGTTTAGGCGGCAGTTGAAGCAGTTCTGTTTCTTTCTTAAAATAACCCAGTAGGCCCTACAATACTAGACTCATCAGTGGTGGAGAAAGCACCAGCTTTTTTTACTTTACTACAATTACTTAGTAATTGCATGGTATATCTTTTTCCATTCCTTTACTTTAAAATTTTAGAATTCTAATATTATGTCCTTCGAACTATTTTGTAGTTGTTTTTTAAATCCATTCTAATAATCTTTATATTTTAACTAAACTATTCAATTCATGTTTAATGTAGTTAGTAGTGCTTTTAGGTTTAAATTTATTAATTTATGTTAGTGAGTGTATAGTGATGAAAACCTTTCTCTTTATTTTATGACTTATAAATTAATAATTTTACCACTTCTCAGAAAATTCAAAGGCTTTAGGAGCTTTCATACTGCCTGTCGTAAGAGCTATTTTTCTTTTTGTATAAATTCTGTATTTGTTTAAAACTTACAAGATGTTTTATTATGTTATTACTGTTTCCACACTCATTATTTGTCAATCAATATTTTCCACTTTCTGTTGTTTCTGCATCTCTCTCTGTGTTTCCTCTGGGATTATTTTTCTTCTCTTTGAATAATATTCTTTATTATTTTATGTGAGGTACATCTGCTTGTGTCAAGTTTTCTGTTTTGATTTGTTTGCAGTTTTTACACTTATAAAATTCCTGGTTGATATTGTTTTCTTTTTTTAGAGCTTTGAGTTTATAATTAGAGTCTTCTAGCTTCTATTTATCTCTTGAGAAATCAACTCTCAGTACTTGTATTCCTTTTTTAAAGGTAATATAACACTTTTTTGCATTGGACTCTATTATCTTTGATATTTATTAATTTACTACAACATACTAATATACTTTAAAAATACTTATCTTGCTGATTTGCATATTGCTTCTGTTATCTGTCTTATAGTTTACATTAACTATAGAACATAGAACCGTGTCTTAAAATATTGCTCCTGTCTCATTTGCTCTTTTTTCTCTTTTGGGGACTCCAGTTACATACATCAGGGGGTCTGCAATTTTTTTTTCTATGAAGGGCAAAATAACAAGTAATTTAGGCTTTACAGGATTTATAATTCTCTGTCATATATTCTTTTTTAAAGGGTTAAAAAATGTTTGAAATGTTTGAAAACATCAAAACATCCTTACATCAAGGATGTTTGTACAGTCGTATAAACAAGGGTAGGCGGTATTTATTTCTATATTTGTCTTCCTTGCGTAAATCTTGTGTTTTTAAAAGACTTTTTTTTTGTTTGAATCTCAGACATGGTTTATTTAAAAATGTAGAAAATTTGAGGTTCTGGATGTTGTCCACCCTGTAGAGAGGTTTTATGCAGCTAACATGGACCTGGGCTGACTGTTAGAAATTTAAAATCCAGTCAGTATTGAAATGACTTAAAGCTGACCTTTAATTTTTGTGAGAACCAACCTAGTCATCATTTGCCTTATTTCTAAGATATAGATTTTCAGGATCTGAATGGAAAGTTGGGGGGATTTTGCTAGAGTCCCTCCTCCTTAAATAAATGTCTTGAATTCACATTTCGGCCTCCAAGATTTGTGTCTTCCAAAATCTGTGCTCAGTTATTAGATAGCCCAGTAGCCAGTTTTGTTTCCAGAATCAGTTATCATCTGAAAGGAAAAAAGTAACCATAAAATCTGAACTCACCTTTCATCTTCCCTCCTTCTCCAAATTTTGTTCCCACAAATTCTCACTGCTTTAATAACTCTAAAATACCTTCACATTTGTTAAAAAAGTATTTTACCAGCTTCCATAGTTTTTGTTTCCATTTTATTTTTAGTTCATCATTTCTTTGATTAACAATAGTCTTGATATTTCTAATGCCTGTTTGCCTTTCTCCTCTTCCTTCCTTCCTTTGTCTTTTTCTTCCATTTTTTTCCTAATTGATTTATAGGACAAGGATAATTCTTTAGTTATTCCACATTTCTAAATGAAATAAATCTGGCTAATATTAGAATGACCTAAGTTCCAATAAAATGGCCGTCAAAAGTGTCTGGTGGATGGTACAAAAAATATAATGTGGCACACACTTGGTTTACTAAACAGGTGCTCTGAGGAGACTGCCTTAGACTTTAGAGGCTTCCCTTTTTGTAATCATCTGATGTCGCTAGGCTTTGTGTTCCATCCAAATCTCATCTTGAATTGTAATCAACATAATTCCCACCTGTCAAGGGAGAGACTAGGTGGAAGTAATTGAATCATGGGGGTAGTTTCCCTCGTGCTGTTCTTGTGATAGCGAGTGACTTCTCATGAGATCTGATGGTTTTATAAGAAGCTCTTCCCACTTTGCTTGGCATTTCTTTTTGCTGCCTTGTGAAGAAGGTGCCTTGCTTCCCCTTTCCCTTCTGCCATGATTGTAAGTTTCCTGAGGCCTCCCCAGCCATGCTGAACTGAGTCAATTAAACCTCTTTTCTTTATAAATTACCCAGTCTCAGGCAGTTCTTTATAGCAGTTTGAAAACAGACTAATACCTCATCTAATCAAAGGAGATACATTTTCTAATTTACCTAAGATCTGTATAACAAATGTAAAAAGTAAGGAGAAGTTCTAAATGCTCTAAGACAAAATGAAGTAAGGGTTATTACTGCACAGTTGTTCCTAGATTAAAAAAAATCAAGGTGTCAAGACTGTTATATGCCTAATTCTATATATTACTTAGTGTAGAAAGATGACATCAACCAGATAAACTTTTACTATAGAAACTCACTTCTTAAACAGAAAGTCTAAATAATTTTCTAAATATTCTAAGCCCATCAACATAAATTTTATACCCCTTGCCAGCAAAAAGCTTATACTCAAATCACTTCTCATCCATTTCCCTATCTTTAAATTCTGAGGCTAAAATAGTTTAATCTTTAAGCACCTCCTTTATAATCTTCCATTACCTTTTAAGGGGCCACTATTTGTATTTCTGACTTGTTTCTGCATTTAGTTTTATGTCATTTTTTCTTTTCCAAAGAAATTACTTGTTGTGCTGGGCTCCTGACAGCAGTACCTATTAACATTTTACACCCCTAATACTTGTCACCTCTAATCCACTTGATTGTACAATGTGTTGAATTGTTTTAAAAAGGTGTAACAGAGAATTGAAATGATGATGAAAATCACTCTCAAGAACTGGAGTTGTTTAAAAGACTTGAAATATGGAGAAGAATATCAAAGTTAGTCTCTATATGACTTGTAATACCAGTAGTAAAGCATATCTAAGCAAATAATTATCCAAAGCTGCTAAGAATTCAAGATTTTTAAAATAATAGTGTGTATTTTACATTCAGTCTCTTTCAGCTGTGTAACTTCTAAAGCTATATTTTGGCAAAATCATTCATATGATGAAATTGTTTATCAGTTAAAGTAATTTTAGAAAATTTGTAATTGCAATAAATTTCTTTTGATCAAACTCTTCAATTTGATGAAGCAAAGATAAATTTGGCTCAGGTCCTAAGAAAGCTGAGTCAGATTCATACACTATACACTAAAATAAAGGCATTGATTAAATAGATGTTAATATGAACCGTATAAAAGTTTGATTCCAGACAACCTTACAAGTTATGCTGGCATCCTGTTAATGAATTAGAACTCCAGCTGGTATCTGCTTAATTCAGCTGTAACTAATTATTTTCCTCAATAGTATTAAAATACTGAATGCATAGTCATTAATGATGACACTAAAGGTCTAACTTCAGCATTAAAATCCAAATGATGATACTCATAACTCTCTAGGAGTCATGGTTATTATCTTCAATGAAAGAATAAAAGAGTTAATTGTAACACAAGGGAATGAGACACATGATCCCTTGTTTCTCCTAAACATTTCCAGGAATGGTATGCTCTGTGTGCGTGTGTGTGTGTGTGTGTGTGTGTGTGTGTGTATTTTAATTTATTTTTAATTGACAGGTAATTGTATATATTGATGGGTTGCAATGTAATGTTTTGATATATGTATATGTTATAAAAAGGTTAAATCAAGCTACTTAACATATCTATCACCTCACCAATTTATCTTTGTGTGTGTGTGTGTGTGTGTGTGTGTGTGTGTATGGTGAGCACATTAAATATCTATTTTAGCAATTTTGAAATACGTAGTACATTATTAAACTATAGTCACCATGCAGTGAAATAGATCATTAAAGCTATAGCACGTTTTGTTTTTTGTTTTGGTATGATCCTTGTAAAAAACCCAACAGGGAAAAACAACAACAACAATTTTTCATAAAAAACACACACATTTATATTAAATGCATATTCATTAACAATGACACATACACATAGAGAAAGCGCTTGACTTTAATATGCTGATTTCTTTAAAAAGCAGTGCTTTGTACATCAAGTATTCATTGTAAAACTTGACGAAAATAGAGTGTCTTTCGAGGAGGGAGGCTTTATGGAGGGAACATATTGTATAAAGATTTAGACATCATTTTATTATTAAATAAAAATTGACATCATTTTATTATTAAATAAAAATTCTGATAATATCAAAGTCAATAAGGAGAAATGATTTACAGTATCACACACCAAGTAAACTAGAATTTATTTTTAACATAAGACTGCCTATTTTATTTTATTCTACTTAGTACAGAAATATATTGCTCTTTAAAAATAGATGAGTATTTTTGTAAAAATCTCTTTCTTAGGTGTTACTTTTGAAAAAGATTATTGTAATTGCTAAATATTGTGGTATTTTAAAATTTACTTTATATCTTATTTGTTTCAATTAGATATATTAATAATAAATTAAGTAATAAAAATAATTCTAAATAATACAAGTAATAGGTATCACCTGGTAACTACTGATATTAGATTTCTCAACTCCTGGGAATAACAGAAAAGGTGGTATATTGAGTTCTGAAATTTAGAATAATTTCAAAATCTAAATGGCATATTTTTGCAGATTGTTGTGATTAGTTGCTCTCTTTTTCATTTGGCCAAGAATATATCCAAACCAACTGGAGCAGCAAGCCCAATATGTGACTATGAGAGGTGCAGCCTCAATGCTAACATGAGCTGCTCAGAAATAGGAAGTGAGAAGACAAACATGAAGGTGAAGTTTACTTCATGTGCACCATAGCAACAAACCTGAATACAGAAATATGTCCAACTGCATTTCTCTGTCTCCACCTTTTCTTTATCACTAATTGCATAAAAAACTTGTTTCTTAAGCTTTGTAGGAAGAAAGTAAAAAATCACACAAATTCACCTGGAGATAACTGGCATTGTCATTCTGATAATGATTTCTTCATGATGTGCATAATGGACAAATATTTACATAAAATTCTACATAAGCAAGATCATGGCAGACATTTTAAAATAATTTTACCTTTAAAAACATAACTGCTTTTATCTTTTTTTGCCATACTTCTTTTCTACTCTCTTCCCTTCTCTTGTTCTTATTCTGACTCCAGTGGCTTAAGCAATCTGGTAGGAGTTTTTCAACAACTTCTGCCATGATCAAATAATATTGCATACACATTCAGAGTTTCTTTTTATATTTGGTACTGTTTGTTTTACAAAAACAAGGTTATAATAAATTCAACTTCTTGCTTTCTGCTTTTCTTATTTACCAATACATTTTGAAAAACCCTCTAATACAAGAATTAAAGATTTAACTCATAATTCAGTGTATATTTGACCTCCTCCTTAGATACCTCAAGTCTCTCAATATGTCCTACATATAT
The DNA here is from genome assembly GCF_000001405.40 of Homo sapiens. Classification (NCBI taxonomy): domain Eukaryota; kingdom Metazoa; phylum Chordata; class Mammalia; order Primates; family Hominidae; genus Homo; species Homo sapiens. Next base: position 56,836,196 of record NC_000010.11, on the reverse strand, counting down.
TCAGCTTATTTGCCCCTCGTGGCACATTTTATATATTTTTTTTCTGACATATATTCAGGTTCTTTTTTTGTCTTTATTTGTTGTTTTACATTCAGTCCGTATTTAAAAAATAAACCTTTATTTTTTATTCATAGGAGTATTCCCTGGATTTTCTTTGAAAACTCATTTTTATCCTTCATAATGTCTTTTCCTTTTAACAACTTATAAAAATCTCCATTTTTTATTGTGCAAATATCTTTAGTTTATAGTTTATTCATGTTACTTTTGTTGTTTTTCACTTATATTCTTGGGTGTGCCAATTCTTTTGTTGCATCTTCCTTCTCTGACTTAGGGTGGTTTGTTTCCTTGTATATTTCATGAAAGTGTTAGTTATAAACTCATAATTATATAACTTATATTATGTTATAAAAGCATAAATTAATTTTCCACCCCATGAGATTCTCACAGGGGATATTGAGGAACTTTCTGCTCACAGAAATTTTGAATTTGCTTGTGGTGTGTGCTCTATGCCCATTAATTGCTTTTCATCTCCCTGAGTCAGTGGGTAGAGTAATTTTGTGTCTTTATCATTGAACTTCTAGTTGGAGGATCTTGTCTTCTATCATAATATGGCATTAAAACCTATTCTAAACCTTTAATCACTATACAATTCAACTTATTCTTCAGGACTGCCATAATATCATCTCATTTGCTTACTGCTTTGACATTCAGCTTTTACTTCGTATTTGGTACACGGGTATTTTTTTTTTCTTTCTTGTACATTAAATCATATTTTTTAAAAAAGGTGGGAATAAATTATACATTTCCAGGTATATCTAGGTATTTGTATAGAGAGTTTTTGGTTCTAGTCTAGTTCATCATTTTACTAGAACTGGAAGTCCATTGCTCTTTTGAATAGTTACTATTTTGCAGTAGAAAATGTATTTATTACTCACATAGTATTGACACTTACATTTTTCCAGTGTTCCCCCATTCAAACAGAGCCTCAACTAACACATTTTTGAGTGTTATTTTTGCAATAATGCTTTTTCTCTTTGGCATTACATCACTCGAATGCTATTGCTCCGTTAAAAGTAACGTTTTAAAATGTTGATAGACTATTAATTTACTGAATTTTAAACAAGGTTATAATAATTTACATTTATCCTAGTGATATGTGCTAAGTGTGGATATAAAAATTACCTCATCGGTCTTCAATAAAGGAGGTAAGTTATTTTGTTCTTCTCTTTTATGGGAAATAATTCTAAAAATAATAAAACAAAGAGGGAAGTATGTGAATAGAATAATAAATCTGAAAACTTTGTGTCTGACAAACCAGGAAAGTTGGAATTAAAAGCACGATCATTTAGACTCTGAGAAGAGACGATAAATCCTCCCAAATAAAACTAACTCCATGCATGGGGTCATTCAGGTGCTTGGTATGAATCCTTAGGGTACCATAACCTGAGATCACGGCTGTCTGCAGACATCAGCATGGTAATTAGGGCATGCTCATGAAATCAGATAGAATAACTCTTTCCTTGGAATTTGATGAATGCTACCTCTTAAAATGTATAGTGGCAAAGTTATCTTGGGTTTGCTTGAGTTCACATGTTTCTGGCACTGTTGACTGGAAAGGCTTCTCTAAAACCAGCCTGATTTATCTACTAAAATTAGCTTCTATTTCTGACATATACCAAATGACAAAGCTCTCCCACGTTCTCTGTGACCATGGCTGATGTTATTGCAATCTTTCCACATGAACTGAGAACAAGTTATTTTAGATAAAAATGATGATTTCTGGTAACAGTCTGATTTTATTCAATTAGAATACAGTTCCTCTCTTATTTGTTTTTGAATAATAAAAATGAAGATATTCTAATTGAATAATTACAACTAATATTAAATATTATTAGTAAAATATTATCAATTCAAAATTTTATTTGAAGCAGAGTTGTATTGAAGTTTCTTTTGTCTTGATACTATTTGTGGAGAAAAATTAGCGGAATATATGACTGATATAAAAGTTGTAAAGGGAATATTTAAGATTGAAGAAATAAATAATTTTCAAGCACTCCCAAACCATTTTAACTATTGACAAAATAGTAATCTTTTATTGTTTCTACAGATGAGTGAAATTTCAAAAAAATACTCTTTAGAAATGCAAATGTTTCCTATGTGAAAATGAATTTTCATCAATCCATTCTAATCAGTAAAATTGTTTAGTGTCTGGCTGGGTGCGGTGGCTCACTCCTATAATCCTAGCACTTTGGGAGGCCAAGGCAGGTGAATCATTTGAGGCCAGGAGTTTGAGACCAGCTTGGCCAATATGGTGAGACCCTGTCTCTACTAAAAATACAAAAATTAGCCAAGCGTGGTGTCAGGCAGCTGTAATCCCAGCTACTCAGGAGGCTGAGGTAGGAGAATTGCCTGAACCTGGGAGATGGAGGTTGCATTGAGCCAAGATTGTACCACTGCACTCCAGCCTGGGTGACAGAGTGAGACGCCTCAAAAAAAAAAAAAAAAAAAAAAAAAGGAAGAAACAAATTGTTGAGTATCAGATTGTGAAAAGTAAATTTTGACTTACATGAGAATGCTGCACTTATATCCAAACAAAAGTGCTTGCAAAATTAAAATTTTGTGTGAATGAGGCTGCTTATCATATTTTCTAGGAAAGCTGAACTTCTCTGATATTTCACTTTTTTGAAAGAGAAGAGTGTCATCAATTTTTATAATGTGGTAGGTTGATCTCTGCAGGTTTACCTTGATCCTTTGTCAACGTCCAAGTAAAAAGACAACCATCTCTATATAAATTTCCTAATTAACACAACAGCAGATGAGCTTTCTGTCCACTGGATTTCTATAACAATTATTTTGTTAATATTTCAGGTCATATTTTAATTATTGTCTCAGATTATGTTTCTTCATACAAACTACTTGGAAGAAAAGACTCTTGTAAATGGTTTAGTATCCTCACTCTACCCAGCATATCAGCAAGCGTTTTTCATACAGTATAAAAGCATATATATTAATTGCAGTTATACCAATAGTAATTATCAGGGGATGGCCTGTGTGGATAGGATTATGTTATAGCAATGAACTAATATGATTATATCAGACCTCCAGAGCAATTGCATCAATGCCTGTATTTTCTCACATTTTTGGAAGTGATCTCCTGCTCTAGCATCATCATAGGTAACAGCAAAAGTAATATTTATTGAGTTCTTGCTATATATCAAATACTGTATAAAACATTTACATGTATTATCTCTTGTAATCTTCCTAGCAATCCTATTAGGTAAAAAAACAAAAAAAAAAAAAAGAAAAAACTATTATCGTGATCCTTTCTCAGCCTTATAGTTGAAGAAATTGAGGCTTAAAAAGATTAAATAACTTGTTAAGGGCTTATAGCTTCTAAGTGTTGAAGCCAGAATTGGAATTTATGCATTTTGTATTTGCAGTCCAGATGCATAGCTGCTTCTCAATGATACAAATTCACTACTTCTTCATCCTCTTGAAGACCCTCTTGCAACTCCAGCATCGAAGAGATATAATAACTAATTGTAAGCCCAACTCTAATAAACATTAAGAATAAATAGTATTGCCCAAACTATTTGACCTGTCTTTAAATATAAAAGCCAAAGCTTTATTATGTTTAATCAATTATTTATTCTTTATCCCTACTTTGTAACAAGCATTAGTTACATGGTATGTCAGAAAATAAATACTATACAGAAAAATAAAGAAGGATGAAGGAAAGAAAAGTGGGAAGTAAATGTGATGCAATTTTGAATAAGTTGATCAAGGATGTATCTCATATTTAAGCAAAGACCTAAAAAAAGAGATGTTGAAATCTGTATTCTTATTCATGTGATTCATTGAACCTTTAGTTATTAAATATTTAATATATGCATATTGCTGTATTAAGCTCTGGAAATACCATGATTAACAAACACCAATATTATCAGAGATCATATAAGTTATCAAAATCCATTTAATAGTTATAAATAATTGTCAAATTAAAACTCTGACAAGTTTTTTGAAGGGAAAGCACGATGACTATGATGATTTGTGACAGATCTTGATTAAGCTTTTGGCAAAGTGGGAAGAGGGAAAGCAGGAACAGGTGTTCTATAGTTTGAGGAAAGCTACTCTGAGGAAAAGGTGTCTGAGTGGAGATCTGAAGATGAGCAGAACAAAATTAAGCAAAGAGGAGTGTAGGAGGCATGCATAGCACACAAAGGTCAAGAATATCCTGGTGAAGGAACAAACTGTTGGGCAAAAAGCCTGCTCAAGGGGCAGTATGACTTAGTTGAAAGACCACATGGTTGTTATAAAAGTCCATGTGGCTGAAACCAGAGGCTGGGGTAGAGTGGGTATTATAACTTACAAGAGGCGGGTAATCACCGAGGTAGGCAGGGCTACTAACTTATTACCACCTTATTATGTGATACATTTCCACTTCCAAAAGTATTTTCTCATCGTATTCTCACATTTTTCATAGGTGCAGAGAGAAAGAAATGCCATAATAAAACAATTTATTAGGAGTTCAAGTTATTGCCCAAATCTTACAACAAATATGACAGGATTGAATTCCAGACTCAGGCATTTTATCTTAGGTCAAGCTAAAGATTGTTTTGATTGAATATCTTGTAGTTTTTTTCTCTTGATCATGGGCAATCATAGTTTATTGTTAATCTAAAACTAAACAACAGATATATAAAGTAGCTTGGTTTTTAGTTTGAACTGATAAATAAGATATTTTTATCCTGGTCTTTTTGACTAGCCCTTCTAACTTCATGATAAGTATTAAGGAGTAGAACCTGTAGCACATATTCATATGTTCAATAAAATTCCTTTGAATATCAATTTTTAAAAATTTATTTCAACTTATTTTGTTGATTTTGCAACAGTTTATATTGTTTTATATGTTCTAAGAACCCAAGAAACATAATTCTTTATGGCCTGTAATTCTGAATCTGTCCCTGTATAATGACTTATGTACATGTGGCATTGACATTGTCCCAAATTACATTAAAAAATTGTTAATTTATGAAATTTCTTTAAGAAGTCACAAAAGCATCTTGAGATATTTTATAAAAGGATATACAGGCATATCTAATTGTTTTGCATGTTATTGTGCTTTGCAATATTGTGTTTATACAAATTGAAGGTTTGCATCAACCTTGTATCAAGACATTCTATTATTGTAATTTTCCTAAGAGTATATGCTCATTTTATGTTTCTCTATCACATTTTGGTAATTCAAGGAATAGTTTTGAGTTTTGTGTCTTATTACTTAAGAAATTCATTTTGTAAGACTATAGCTGCCATAGATAATGATTCCTCTGATGAATTTGGACAAAGTTAATTTGAAACCTTCTGGAAAGGATTCATCATTCTAAATGCCACTAAGAACATGCATAATTCGTGGGAAGAGATCAAAATATAAACACTAGTAGAAGTTAAAAAGAAGTTAATTCCAATCCTCCTGAATGAGTTTGGAAGATCGAGATTTCAGTGGAGAAATTTACTGCCAATATGGTGGAAATAGGAAGAAGTAGGTGTGGAGCCTAAAGATGTGACTGAGTTGCTGCAATCTCATGATACAAGTTGAACAGATGAGGAGCTGCTTCCTATAAATGAACAAAAGGAATTTCTTGAGTTGGAATCTACTCCTAGTGAAGATGCTGTAAAAATCATTGACATGAAAACAAAGGATTTAGAATATTATATAAATTTAGTTGATAAAGCGGCAACAAAATTTGAGATAATTGACTCCAATTTTGAAAGAAGTTTAACTGCCGATAAAATGCTGTCAAACAGCATTACATGCTAGAAATAAATCTTTGGTGAAATGAAGAGTCAATCAATGCAGCAAACTGCATTGTTTTCTTTTTTAAAAAAGTTATCATAGCAATCCCAACCTTCAGCCACCACCCTGCTGATCAGCCAGCAGTCATCAACAGTGATTCAAGATCTATCATTAGCAAAAAGATTATGACTTGCTTAAGACTCAGATGACTGTTAGCACTTTTAGTAATAATTTATTTTTATTATTTATCTCTTTTTAAAAAATTTAGATTAAGGGGGTACATTGTAGGCTTGTTACATGAATATACAGCATAATGGTGAGGTTTGAGCTTCTAGTATATCCATCGCCCAAATAGTGAACATTGTACCCAATAGGTAATTCTCAACCCTTACCTCCCTCTCACCCTCTCACTTTTAAGTTGCTAGTGTTTATTATTTCCTTTTTTTTCTTTTGAGATGGAGTCTTGCTCTGTTGCCCAGGCTGGAGTGCAGTGGCATGATCTCAGCTCACTGCAACCTCAGCCTCCCAGGTTGAAGCAATTCTCCTGTCTTAGCTTCCTGAATAGCTGGGACTACAGGCACCTGCCACCACGCCCAGCTAATTTTTGTATATACACTTCATTTTCTTTATCCAGTCCACCATTGATTGAAACATAGGTTTATTCCAAGACTTTGCTATTGTGAATAGTGCTGCAATAAATATATGAGTGCAGAAGTCTTTTTAATATAATGATTTATTTTCCTTTTAGTAGATGCCCAGTATTGGGATTCCTGAGTCAAATGGTATTTCTATTTTTAGTTTTTTCATAGATCTCTGTATTTTTTGTTTGTTTGTTTGTTTGTTTTCGTTGTTTTTTTTTGAGACAGAGTCTCACCCTGTTGCTCAGGCTGGAGTGTAGTGGTATGATCTCAACTCACTGCAACCTCTGCCTCCCAGGTTCAAGCAATTCTCCTACCTCAGCCTCCCAAGTAGCTGGGACTACAGGCAACCACCACCACACCCGGCTAATTTTTGTATTTTTAGTAGAGATGGCGTTTCACCATGTTGACCAGGCTGGTCTCGAACTCCTGACCTCAGATGATCCACACGCCTCAGTCTCCCAAAGTGCTGTTCATATTGTTTTTCATAGAGTTTGTACTAACTAACCTTCCCTTTTCTATGTATATAAGCATTCCCTTTTGTTTGCATCTCAGCCAACCAACAAACAAACAAACAAACAAAAAGTACAGAGATCTATGAAAAAACTAAAAATAGAAATAACATTTGACTCAGGAATCCCAAGATCTGTTGTTTTTTGACATTTAATAATAGCTATTTGGATTGGTGTAAGATGATATCTCATTGTGGCTTTAATTTACATTTATCTGATGATTAATGATGTTGAACACTTTTTCATATGCTTGTTGGCTGCTTATATGTCCTCTTTTGAGAAATAGCTGTTCATGTCTTTTGCCTACTTTTAATGCTTTTTTTCTTATTGATTTGTTTAATTTTCTGATAGATTCAGAATATTAGTCCTTTATCAGAGGTATAATTTGCAAATATTTTTCTCATTCTGTAGGTTGTCTATTTACCCTGTTGATTATTTCTTTGGCTTTGCAGAAGCTTTTTAGTATAATTAATTCTCATTTGTCTATTATTATTTTTGTTGCACTTACCCTTGGGGTCTTAGTCATAAATTATTTGCCTAGGCCAATATCCAGAAGTGTTTTTTCTAGATTTTCTTCTAGGACTTTTATAGTTTGAAGTCTTTTATTTAAGTCTTTAACTCATGTTGAGTTGAGTGTTGTATATATGGAGAAGTAGGGGTACAGTTTTGTTCTTCTGCATATGGTCTATCTTGTTTTCCCAGCATCATTTATTGAATAGGGTGCCCTATCCCTACTCATTACTTTTGTTGACTTTGTTGAAGATCATTTGGTTGTAGATATGTTGCTTTATTTTTGAGTTAAGTGTTCTGTTCCATTGATCTATGTGTCTATTTTTGTACTAGCACTATGCTGTTTTAGTTAATACAACCTTGTAGTATAATTTGAAGTCAGGTAATGTAATGTCTCTGGCTCTGATCTTTTGCTTAGGATTGCTTTGCTTATTCAGGAATTTTTTCTTGGTTTCACATAAACTTTAGGGTTGTTTTTCTAATTCTGTAAAGAATGATGTTGGTAATTAGTTAGAAATTGCATTTAATCTGTAGGTTGCTTTGGGCAGTATGGTCATTTTGAGTATATTGATTCTTTCAAACCATAAGCATGGGATGATTTTTTACTTTTTGTGTCATCTATGATTTTTTTTCATCAGTGTTTCATGGTCCTTCTTTTATAGATATTTCAGTTCTTTGGTTAAATTTATTCCTACCTAGGTAATTAATTTTTGTATGGCTATTGTAAAGGGGATTGAGTTCTTGATTTGAATTTCAGTTTAAACACTACAGATGTACAGAAATGATACTAATTTTTTATGTTGATTTTGCATCTTGAAACTTTATTAAAGTTGTTTTTCAAGTGGAGGAGTCTTTTGGATAAGTCTTTAGGGTTTTTTAAATATAAGATTATGTCACCAGAAAATAGAAATAATTTGACTTTCTCTTTTCCAATTTGGATATTTTTTTAATTTTTTTTTCTTGTCTGATTGCTCTTTCTAGGACTTCCAGTACTGTGTTGAATAGGAGTGATCATAGTGAACATCCTTGTCTTGTTCCAATTCTTAAGGGGAATGAATGCCTTGAACTGTTAACCCTTCAGCATGATGTTGGCTGTGGGTTTGTCATAGATGGCTCTTACTATTTTGAGGTATGTTTCTTCAATATCTAGTTTGTTGAGGGTTTTTATTATGAAGAAATGTTGGATTTTACCAAATGCTTTTTCTGTGTCCATTCAGATAATAATATGATTTTGTTTATAATTCTATTTACATGGTGAATCACACTTACTGATTTGTAAATGCTGAACCATCCTTGCATTCTTGAAATAAAACCCACCTGATTATGATGAATTACCTTTTTGATGTGCTGTTGAATCCTGTTTACTAGTATTTTGTTGAAGATTTTTGCATCTATGTTCACTAAGAACATTGGCCAGTAATTTTTCTGTTGTTGCTATTGTGTCCTTGAATGATATTAGTTATCAGAGTGAAACTGGTTTTGTAGAATGAGTAATGGATGAATCCCTCCTCCTCAGTTTTTGGAATAGTTTCAGTAAGATTGGTACTAGCTCTCCTTTGTACATCTGGTAAAATGTGGCTTTGAATCTGTCTGCTGTGGACTTTTTTTGCTGGAAGATTTTCTATGATCGGTTCAATTTCATTACTCATTATTGATCTATTCAAGATTTCTATTTCTTCCTGGTTAAGTCTAGGGAGGTTATATTTTTGCATAAATTTGCCCATTTATTCCAGACTTTCTGGTTTCTGCACATAGAGATATTCATAGTAACCTCTGATTACCTTTTATATTTCTGTGTTATCAGTTGTAATATCACCTTTATAATTTCTGATTGTGCTGATTTGTATCTTCTCTCTTGTTTTTTGGCTAAACTAGCCAGCATTCTATCAGTTCTATTTATTTTTTCAAAGTAACAAATTTGTATTTTGTTGATCTTTTGTATTATTTTTTGGTCCCAATCTCATTTAGTTCTGCTCTGATTTCTGTTATTTCTTTTCTTTGGTTAGCTTTGGGTTTTGTTTGTTCTTGCTTTTCTAGTTTGTTGAGGTGCAAAGCTAGGTTGTAAATTTGAAATCTTTCTGTTTTTGATGTGGAAATTTATCTTAGCACTACTTTTGCTGTATTCAAGAGGTTTTGGTATGTCATGTGTCTGTTTTCATTTATTTCAAAACTTTTTTTTGATTTCTGCCTTAATTTTGTTGTTTATCCAAAAGTCATTCAGAAGCAAGTTGTTTAGTGTCCATATACTTGTGTAGTTTTAAGAGTCCCCTTGGTATTGATTTCTAATTTTATTCCTCTATGGTTCTAAAAGATACTTGATATTATCTACTTTTTTGATATATTGAGACTTACTTTATGGACAAGCATATGATCAATTTTGGAGAATATTCCAAGCACAATGAGAAAAATGTATACTCCTTGGCTGTTTGGTCTAGAGTCCAATTTAATTCCAGAGTTTCTTTGTTGACCTTCTGTCTTGATAACCTGTCTTGTGTTGTCAGTGGGGTGTTGATGTCCTCCACTGTTATTGTGTTGCTGCCAATCTCTTTTCTTAGGTCTTGTAGTATTAGTTTTAGAAATCTAAATACTGCAGTGTTGTGTGCATATATATATTTAAGATAGTTGAATCTTGTTGTACTGATTTCTTTATCATTATGTAATGCCCTTCTTTTTCTTTTTTTTTTAAACTGTTGTTGGCTTAAAGTCTGTTTTGTCTGATTTAAGAATGGCTTTTCCTGCTTGCTTTTGTTTTCCATGTATGTGATATATCTTTACTATCACTTTAATTTGCGCCTACAGATGTTTTAAGTGGAGTGGGTCTTTTTTAGATAACAGATGGTTGGGTCATGTTTTTTTTAATCCAATTTGACAATCTATATATTTTATGTGAAGAATTTAGGGCATCAACATTCAAGGTTTATACTAATATGTGAGTTTTCTTTACTGCCATAGTATTGTTAGTTACTTGCCTTGGATTCTCAATTGTCTAATTGCTTTATAAAATTTGTGAGTTCTCTAATTACATGTACTTTTATAACAGAGTGTATCATCTTTTCATCTCCATGTTTAGAACTTCCTTGAGGATTTCTTGTAGAACTGGTGTACCCATAATGAATTATCTCAGTGTCTGCTTCTCTTGGAAATACTTTCTTTCTCCTTTATTTATGAAGCTTAGTTTGGCAGGATATACAATTTTTCGTTGTCATTATTTTTCTTTAAGAAGGTTAAAGTTAGATCCCCAGTCTCTTCTGGCTTGTATGGTTTCTGCTGAGAAGTCTGCTATTAATCTGATGGAATTTCCTTTATAGGTGACATGACACTTCTCTCTAGCTGCTTTTAAGATTTGTTCTTTCACCTGGGCCTTGGATAGTCTGATGACTACAGGCCTTAGTGATGTTTGCCCTGTATAATATCTGCCAGGTGTCTCTACATTTTTGTATATAATATCTACATATTAGCAAGATTAGGGAAATTTTCCTGAATTATTCTTTCAAATATATTTTCCAAACTTCTTTTTCTTTTTTTCCCTGAGGAATGCCTATAAGTTGTATCTTTGGTCACTTTGCATAATCCCATGTTTCTTGAAGACCTTATTCATTTTTAAAAATTCTTTTTTCTTTATTTTTTTTCTGGCTGGGATAATTAAAAAGACTTGTCCTTAAGCTTCATTTTTTGTCTTCTGCTTGTCTTTGTCTGTTTTTATGTTTTTAATGCTTACAACTGTGCTTTGAAATTCCTTCAGTGTATTTCTAATTTCTCAAAGCTCTGTTTTTCTTGTTAAATATATATATATATATATATATATATATAGTCTTTCATCTTCTAAACTGTTTTTTCTTTTTGGTTTCCTTGTGTTGGTTTTCCAACTTATTCTTGGAGTTCATTGAACTTCCTTGCAATTGATATTTTGAAGTCTTTATCTGTCATTTCAAAGTTTTCATTTTAGTTAGGATCCATTGCCACAGTGCTAGTGTGGTACTTTGGGGGTGTCATAACATTCTGTGTCTTTCTGATGATGGTTTTTTTTTGTGCTGGTTTCTTCTTATTTAGAGATGCTGCTACTTCTTATTTCTGAATTTACTTTTCATTTGGGTAGAATTTTTCCCCCTTGAGGATGTGACTATTGTGTGTGTTGAGTAGGGTCCTTTGGCTTTTCTTTGTGCTTTTAGGGGGCTTTGGGCTTTTAGGTGTATGAATTTCCTGATCATGTTTTTCCGGGTCATGTTTTTTTTAATCCAATTTGACTATATATTTTTTGTGAGGAATTTAGGGCATCAACATTCAAGGTTTATACGAATATGTGAGTTTTCTTTACTGCCATAGTATTGTTAGTAAGTTGCCTTGGATTCTTAATTGTCTAAATGCTTTATAAGATTTGTGAGTTCTCTAATTACATGTACTTTTATAATAGAGTGTATCGCCTTTTCATCTCCACATTTAGAACTTCCTGGAGGATTTCTTGTAGGACTGGTGTACTCATTAGTACAGTTAGCATTGTTTAGTTTTTTGTAGATTATTATATTGGTGTGCTGTGCCTGTGATCAGACTCATTGTCTCCTAGGGAGATGGGGAAGTCGAGTCTTGGGAGGCTTAGCTCATTTTCCACCACTGTGCACTTCTGTCAGCAGGAATTATATTGCAGTTTATGCTATGTGACAGTAGGTGGCAGTTGTGGGTAATAGTTGCTGTGATGGCAGTGGAAATTTTACTTGGCCTTTGTTGTTCAAGGAAAATACTGGGGTGTCTCTGGTGAAGGGCAGGGGATTAGGCTTCCAGTGATCTCATCCTGTGCTCTGCTGCCAAGGTGGCAAAGCTGGGCAGGGTTGCATCTGGACAGCTGATGCAAGTGCTGATACTCTCTTGGATTTAGGGGCCACTCTCAGGCCATAGAGACAACCAACCAGGAGGGGCACGAGGCATCACTCTTGAGCCACAGATGCCTCTTAGGAGAAGAGGGGTGGCTTGGGGTTTTCAGCCCAGCAGGTGTCCTTGGGACCCACCCAGCTTCCACAACCTAGATCTGGCAGTATCGGGGGAACCCACCCCCAATATTTCAACATAGGTTCTTTCTATTTTCCCTAAGTGTTGGCTGGTCTGAGAAATAAAGAGAAAGAGTACAAAGAGAGGAATTTTACAGCTGGGCTGCCAGGGGTGACATCACATATCGGTAGGTCTGTGATGCCCACCTGAGCCACAAAACCAGCAAGTTTTTATTAGGGATTTCAAAAGGGGAGGGGGTGTACGAATAGGGAGTAAGTCACAAAGATCACATGCTTCAAGGGGCAAAAAGGAGAACAAAGATCACATGCTTCTGAGGAAACAGGACCAGGGCAAAATCAGAAACTCCTGATAAGGGTCTATGTTCAACCGTGCATGTATTGTCTTGATAAACATCTTAACAGAAAACAGGGTTCAAGAGCAGAGAACCAGTCTGACCTCAAATTTACCAGGGCTGGGTTTCCCAATCCTAGTAAGCCTGAGGGTACTGCAGGAGACCAGGGCGTATCTCAGTCCTTATCTTAACTGCATAGGGCAGACACTCCCAGAGCGGCTGTTTATAGACCTCTCCCCAGGAATGCAATGCTTTTCCTAGGGTCTTAATATTATATTCCTTGCTAGGAAAGGAATTTAGCGATATCTCTCCTACTTGCACGTCTGCTTATAAGCTCTCTGCCAGAAGAAAAATATGGTTCTTTTTGCCCGACCCCGCAGGCACTCAGACCTTATGGTTGTCTTCCCTTGTTCCCTAAAATCGCTGTTATTTTGTTCATTTTCAAGGTTCACTGATTTCATATTGTTCACACACACATGTTTTACAATCAATTTGTACAGTTAACACAAACATCACAGGGTCCTGAGGTGACGTACATTCTCAACTTAAGAAGATAACAGGATTAAGAGATTAAAGTAAGACAAGCATAAGAAATTATAAGAGTATTATTAGGGAAGTGGTAAATGTCCATGAAATCCTCACAATTTATGTTTCCTCTGCCATGGCTCCAGCTGGTCCCTCCGTTCAGGGTTTCTGACTTCCCACAACATGGCAGGCCTCTCTCTGGTGTCTGGGCCTGGCAGCAAGCCCAACCAGCAAAACTAGTCCCAAGCCACCTGTGCCCAGATTGCTAAGCTATTCCACACATTCCAGGCTGTGATAATCCCTGGGGCAGAAAGCAGCTATTATGCCACATTCTTCCTGGTCCAGCCTCTCAAAGGGGCACCAGCTCCTGCACCACATCCCCCAGAATCTGCATCACACATTTCTCTGTATTCTGTCACTGCTGGCTCCTCCCCAGATCAAGATCAGGCCACAGATTTTATCTCCATATACCTGGGTGACGTGTTCAACTCCTGTGGACCTGGAATCAGGCCAGTGGATTTGTCCTTTGGCCCTTTGGTGCCAAGCACTGCCTGTGGTACAGTGGTAAATTGCTCCAACCCTGAGAACAAAACACTCAGGTAGGGCAATAGAGGCTATGCTGTGAATCATCTCCTGCAGGACACCAGGCAGGCAGTCTTGGGGGGGACAGGCAGGCATGTGGCTCAGGTGCACCTTTTTCCTGTGGCAATAGTGTTGGGGCGTGTCTTTGGGTGTGTGAGTGTGCCCAGGCTCTTCTGAAAAAGTGTCATTTGTCCAGGGAAAAAACCTGAGGTTTGTTGCCTCGTGCTAAGGAAATCGAAGACAGGGACACACCAGGAGCGGATGTAAGAGTGGAGTGTTCGGGCCGGGTGAGGTGGCTCAGGCCTGTAATCCCGGCACTTTAGGAGGCTGAGGCAGGCGGATCTCGAGGTCAGGACTTCCAGACCAGCCTGGCCAACATGGTGAAACCCCATCTTTACTAAAAATACAAAAAGAATTAGCCAGGCGTAGCAGCACGCCTGTACTCGCAGCTACGCAGGAGGCTGAGGCAGGAGAGTTGCTTGAACCCAGGAAGCAGAGGTTGCAGTGAGCCAAGACCACGGCATTTCAATCCAGCCTGGGCAATAAGAATGAAACTCCAAAAAAAAAAAAAAAAAAAAAAAAAGTGGAGAGTTTAATAGGTGAAAGAAGAGAAAAAGCGAGAAAAGCTCCCCTGTGCAGAGGGAGGGGGGTTCTGATTAGCTCTCCCCATTTGCATCAGGATACAGTTAGTTTTATAGAGGAGGTGTCTTATTTACATAAGGCCCAGAGGATTGGTTGGACCAGGTGTGCCATTTACAAAACCAGGAAGAAGCTGGCTATCCCACTCTAATGTTTTATTATGCAGATGGGGGTCTCTATCTGGCTGGCACCATGACCCCTGCACACGTGGCGACAAAGAAAGGGGAAGAGAAAACCTCCATGTTGAATATACGTGGCTTCCAGTTATCTCTTTACTATTGGCACAGCTACAGGCGTTTACTAATGCAAGCTTTTAGCTTGCTTATTTATGCTTGCAGCTTGCTTTTTCTTTTTTCCTTTTTTTTTTTTTTTTTTTTTTTTTTTTGAGACGGAGTCTTGCTCTGTCGCCCAGGCTGGAGTGCAGTGGCGTGATCTCAGCTCACTGCAACCTCCAACTCCCGAGTTCAAGCAATTCTCCTGCCTCAGCTTCCTGAGTAGCTGGGATTACAGGCGCCCGCCACCACGCCCAGCTAATTTTTTGTATTTTTAGTAGAGACAGGGTTTCACCATGTTAGTCAAGCAGGTCTCAAACCCCTGACCTTGTGATCCACCTGCCTCGGCCTCCCAAAGTGCTGGGATTACAGGCGTGAGCCACCGCACCTGGCCTTGATTTTTCAGTCTGCTTTTTGTTAGAAAGAAATGATATGGGGGCTGCTTCTTAATTAAAAGTAAAACCATATTGAGGACTCCCATAACCTCACTAACTGCCTAAATAATTTCTTTTTAACTCCTTTATCACTACTCTTTCCCAGCATGGCAGAGAGCAGGAGCTAAAGCCTCTTAGGGCAGGATGAAGAGCGTTTGGGTGTGTACCCAGAATCACATTTGATTCACCTTTTGGGCTCCATGTGTTCCTATTCGAGCAATGCCTCTGCATGGTCTCCAGGCACCTCCCCCTGACAGTTCAAAGGTCCCCAGGGGTTGTGGGAGCTCTTACAGGTAGGAGAACCTCAGAGGTCCATGGTGGAAATGTGGATCCTCAGGGTTCTTTCATTCATCCCATACTTGGGTCCAGGTCCAGATCCAGATTGGAGCGGTGGTCCTGGTGCTCAGCAAGGCCTGGCAGGCAGTTCTGCTTTCTCCCTCCTGAACCACGGTGCCTTCCATCACCTTTCTATTGAATTTAGGTGTTCTCTCACAAAAGATCTGTTAGAATGTGAAGGTTTACTCGATATTTTGGTTCCTGTCCATGGAAGATGCACATTCCAGCTACATCTACTCGGCCTTCTTGAACCTCTTTCATATTTTTAAAGTATGTACATTGTATTTTAGACATAATAGTATTGCACACCTAATAGGCTACTGTATAGTGTAAATATAACTTTTATATGCCATGAGAAGCAAAAAACATTGTGTGACTCTGTTTATTGTGATATTCACTTTATTGAGGTATTCTGTAACTGAACTTGCAATATCTCCAGATATGCCTGTAATAGCATCAATTTTAGCTTACTAAATAGCCTCTTTTTGTAGGTGAAAATTTTCAAACCTCAGTTTTAAAAATTATTCCCTGGAAAATTTCACCTCAGATTGTCAGTTACAACTCATCATTGGGATTACTTCCATATGGCCGGTCCAGAGTAATGTCTGCTACACTTAATATCAACTAGCAATTGTCTCAAACTTCAGTGTAAAGATATGGAAATTCAGAAAACACAGGCACAAATATATAGGAATGAATTCACATTCTGTTTAAAAATGAATGCCCATGATTAAAAGGTAACAATATAATCATAGTATATGTATGACTTTCTATATTAGGAATATTTCAAACTTAAGTTGTAAATTGTGAGTGCAATTGTTTTCACATACTACTTTTTTATCTGCCTATTTTAAAGGTTCGAAGAAAAACAATAAAATGTATATATTTACAAGTCTCTGGCTTGATAACTTTTTAAAAATGTGCTTTGTGACCATTTTTTTCAACTTACCTTTGATCTTATATGCCAACACACACACACACACACACACACACACACACACACACATACACTCTATCTTCTGGCTAGTTATTTGGCTTGTTGTTTATGTTTTATGTACACTTCACAATCCCCTCACACTGTTAGTTCTATTATATGATTGTTACAAATGTTTTTAATCTTGCGTATAGTCTCAGTAGTTCTCACATAGTTATGCAATAACATATTCCCTTATCTTTATTATTTTATTCTCAAAAAAGACAAATGATATGGTTTGGCTGTGTCCCCACCCAAATCTCATCTTGAATTGTAGTTCTCATAATCCCAATGTGTTGTGGGAGGAAACTGGTGGGAGGTAATTGAATCATGGGGAGGTTACCCCCATGCCGTTCTCATGATAGTGAGTTCTCATGAAATCTGGTGGTTTTATAAGAGTTTTTCCCCCTTTTCTAGGTACTTCTCCTTCCTGCCACCATGTGAAGAGAAACATGTTTGCTTCCCCTTCTGCCATGATTGTAAGCTTCCTGAGGCCACCCCAGCCATGCTGAACAGTGAGTCAATTAAACCTCTTTCCTTTATAAATTACCCAGTCTCGGGTATGTCTTCATTAGCAGTGTGAGAATGGACTAATACAATATGAGAACTCTTGATTCTTTTTGTTATCACAAATCACTTAAATATGATATTTATTTACACTCTTTTAGTGAAGTTTTCATGGATGTGCTAGAAATTATGTGGGGTTCTTCTCAATTCCAAATTGTTGAATTTCCTATAACTCATCTAATGTGTCTATCTGCTTCCTCTTAGAATGTTTCTATACTGCATGTTGTGATAAACAATACAAGAAATATTTTAATGTAGGACTCTTATCCAATATTATTATTGTACAATATAATCATTGTAAAATTATACATTAAAACTTCTAATGAGGATTCTATGTTTTTCAGAGACTGTGCTCTAAAAATAGTACATATCAAGAAAAGTAATACATATGGAATCACAATATATATAATAAGTTACAACAAAAACAGGTAAAGATACATGTAATCCTATGCTTACACATTCAGAGAAAAAGTATATTTGTGAGACATAGGGAAGTCTAAATACATTTTATTTTTCAATAAAAATTGACACTTATTGAAATTAATCAATATTTATTGAATATATACTACGTAACAGACATTGTCCTATACATTGAAGATAGGGTAGTGATTAAATGAAGAATTATTTTTCATTCATAAATGTGGCCACAGCACAAGACATTAAGTAGTTGTTGATGCACAAATGATAAAATATCTATTTTATTAACCAATTGCTCTGTTAAAAAAAAACCATACACAACAAAACAAAACACTCTAAAATTTAGCCTCTTAAAAAAAACATTTAGTAGAAGACTCACTAGTTTTCAACTTTGGCAGTGTTAGGTAAGGGTAGGGTGTCATCTGAAATGTCTCAACCTGGGCTGGATACTTCACTTTCAGGCTGACTCATTCATATGGCTGGAAACTTGGTACTGGCTGTTAGATGGGAACTCAGCTGAAGCTTTCAGGTGTGGGCCTCGATTTTACTCAATGTGGACTTCACCACATGTTTTCTAGGTCTTTCTCAAAGCAAGGCAACTGGATTTCAAGGGAGGAAAATGATGCTGCCAAACCTCCTTAATATATCTGGGTTCAAAATACCCAGAATGATTCTTTCTTTGCATTCCATTAATTAAAACACTTACAGGCCCAACATTTTGATTTGAGATTAAAGGATGATGTGGGGTGGTTTGGATCCTGTTTTAAAAACTAGGTACACCAAAAGCCTAGTCAAAGAAATAGGGGAAATTTTCTTGAATAAGTGACATTTAAATGAAAGTAGAAAGACTGAAAAGATATTCAGTTAAATAGAGTGTGTATACTGGCTGCCAGGAGATGATATTCAATGTTGCGTGTTCTATGGACTGAAGGTCTTCTGTATATTTAGAGCACTCAAGGAAGCCTAGTGTAGCTAAGACAAGGAGACTTCAAAAAGTTTGTTGAAAAATAGAATTAAAAGATAAAAATAAAAAATAAACTTTATTTCTCAACATAAGCTCCATCAAGTTCAAGACACTTTTTTAAATGATGATATGAGCCTTATAGTACATCTTTAAATAACGTAAACTTCTGGGAACTTAACCAGGTCAATGCAGGCTGGCTTTTTTACATTATTACCTGAAGAAAAATGAATATTCTTTGACGATTATTTTGTATTAACAAATAAATAAACAAAAAAACTCAGAAAGAGGCAAATCAGAACTGTCCAGAGGATATGTAATGATTTCCCACAGAGACTCTCACAAATTTGCCCTTGTTTGATGACAGGAATTAGCAGGAGCAGCACGATGGCAAAGAAGGACTCTGCGAAGCTTCCCCAAGCATTTTTCTACTAAGTTTTTGGTTAACTACCTCAAAACACTCTCATCCTAAACAGGTGTTCTTTGGCCTTCTGGAAAGTCAATATGCAAAATGCAATATGCAAAATGCATCCCTAACACTGTTGCCATGACTTTTGCTCTTAACTAGTCTGCTTTTGAGTTGACTGGACCACTTTCATTGTGCTTTGCCTTTCAGGATTATACTGGTAATGCCATGTGCTGTCTCCTATTACGATTATTTGAAGAAGTGCTTCAGGATCTTGATATCACTTTTTAAAAATTTCCATTGAAAGCTTTGCTCTTGACTACAGCCAATCTGGGTGCCGTGGTTTTGGAATCCTTCAAGTGGAAAATTTGCTCAAATTTAACTTTTCAATCAGAACTGTGTAAGCTGAACTAATTGAAATATCTAGTTTGTTGGCTGTTTGTGCTGTTAATTGTTTGTCCTCTTCAATTATGGTATGAACAAAATTACTTTTTTCCTCCAAGTTGACATGGATGGTCTACTGCTGTGGACTTCATCTTCAAAATTATCTTGTGTCTTCCTAAAATAAGTTATCCATTTGTAAATTGCAAATTTATTTAGGAAATTTTCCCCATGAACTTTTCAAAAAGCATCAATGATTTTTGTATTATTTTACCCAAGCTTCACCACAGATTTGATGTTTGTTCTTGCTTCCATTTTGGCAGAATTCATATTGCTCTAATAGGGGCTTTTTTCAAATTGATGTATCATCTTTCTTATTGCTCAGACTACATTATGTTAAGACATGTTATAAAAAGCTAGGACAAGTTTATTTTGTGCAAAAAAAAAACCTCATATATAGTTTTTTTTATAATATGCATTTTCCATGAATTTTTCAAGACCCCTCATATGTCAAGGTGATACTAGACACATGATCTGCCATAAAAACTGATTGGCCCAAAGAAGAACTGTATTCACTTTTTTTTTTCTGGGAACAATCAGAAGCTATTGAAAATTTTATTAGATAAAATTAAATGCCTATGATTGTTCCATTAAAAAGCATTAGTCAGATAAGAGAAAATATGTAGAGACATATTAGGAGAATACCACAATTGTCAACAAAAGAGATGAAGACATTTGCTGTGTAACTATTAAAAATTCTGTAGATTAGATGACTATTTGGGAATTAGAATTAACACAATTTAATGATTATTTTGATATGGACTAATGAGATAGTGGGGAAAATCAATAATAATTTCTGGGTTTCTAGCTGAAGAAGGTGCATAGTGGTGATATTTACTTAAAAATGAAACACTTTCAGGAGTCATAAGTGTTCAGGTGGATGACAATAATTTCACAGTTGACCAGGTTATGTTTAGCTGCCTACATCAATATGGAGCCTAGAGGTGATATCTGGTTTGAAATATTGCTTTAAAAATCATAAAAATATGTACTATATGTTAAATAAATTGTCAAAGTAACTATCAAATTCCTTCAAGACAGGCCAGAGTGAACAGCAAAGAGGAAATAGAAAAATATTTGAGTAACTCTGAAATTTTTGATTCAGTCCGGGATGAGTAATTGGTCAAAGATGGGAGAGAAGCAGTGGAAGCATATAAGTTATGCTTATATGGTTTTTTCAGTTCATTGGAAAAAAAGTACTGTAAAGAAGGATAACCATGAAAGACAATTATGAGTCTATAAAAGTTGTGTCAGGATGATATTTGAGGCATTTTTTTGATAAGCATAGATAGAATTAGAATGAATAAATTGAATGTTCTCATTGTATTTTTCTTATTATTTCAAATTAGTTCTGGAATATCACATTCCACACAAAGTGGCTACTTTTTATGGCAACTACTAAAAACTAGAGCAAGCCCAAGAGAATATGATCAAAATGGAAGAAAATCTGAAAATCATATTATATAGAAAAAGAAATAGGAAAACATAAACTTGAGAAGGTAATTCTTATAGAAAACATCAGCAATGATTTTAAATATTAGGAGATTGATTTTTGGAGGAAAACTGGACCAATTTTATTCAACCAAAAGGAATCTAATCAATACTCAAAAATGAGTGAGGCTTGTGGCTTACAGTTCATATTAAGGAAGATCTTTGTTAACACGTAGAATACTTTTAATATGCTATTAATTTAGATATTACATCAGAATGAGTAACTTGATTTAGAAAAAAATACCCAAATCCTCACGTGAAGGCTTTTTCTCTTTAATGGAATAAGGCATTGGTTTGAGAAAACACTCTTCAGCACTAGTAATTAAATATTAAGAAATTATTACTTCTTGAAAAATAGCACAGAAAGAAGGTTCTTCAAAGACTGTTACACAAAATTACAATAATAACAATATTATAGTGTAATTCTTGCTGATATTTCCAGTTGTTAGAGTAGGATTTTATTCAAAAATGTGAAATCAAATATTCATATAATTTTGGTTGTGCAGAACTATTTTTTGTTAGAGCGAAGTTAATCACCAAATGAAGCATCACTCATAGTGCTGGCCTCTTTCCTTAGAGAGAATTCCAAATATGGCTGGTGGTGATTTTCTGCTCACAGCTTAGGTGGAAGTTCTGCACCAACAGCTGTAGTCGTAGCCAGAGCATCTTAAAATGACAGGGCAGCAGTTTCTTTGATGAATAATTCTGTGGTATGGCTTTGTTAGCCCATCTGGAAAGCTCAGGAGAGAGTTTATTAGTATTTCAGAACATCCAATAAGTATTTCATCCCCACATAGAACCCTGAAATAAATCCCCTTCTAATTATGCTAACCAGAATGCATTATTTTCTCTAGAATTGAATCCTGATTGATTGATCTTCCATATTACATTTAATGACAACCAGAAACAAGGTATTGAGTTAGCTCTTCTTTAAAGATACATTGCTGGGACAGACACATGTTTCCTTTGACAATTATATATTAATTTTATTTTTACCTAGAGGAATACATATTTATTGAGATTCAAGCTTTTCACTGACTAAACGGTGAATAGAAGAAAATACTCATGCAAATAATGAAGTTGCTTGCAAACATACATGGCCTTTTAAAAGAGTACTTATGGTCTTTATCTAATTATAAACATAATATATATTCATAATATAGACTATTTGGAAAGCCAAGTGTATTTTAAAATTTATCTATTTATTTTTTTTTTGCTGCAGTCAGGTACTATTTTGCCATTGTGTTTATCTCCATTTTACAAAGACAGACTGTAACTGGCATAAACTAGTGGCTACATTTGAAAAGACAAATTGTCTTATACTAGCCATATTGTCAGTGATGTCAATTTTAACTGTCTTTGTTTCGAAATTCTTAATACTTGTTTTCATGAAATTTAGCATTTGTACTAAGGGTGACTTTCACATAACAATATGTACTGTCTCCTTTCAATAGAAGCTCAGGAACTAAATTAGGAAAAAGATATTGTAACTTGCTAGTGAATTACTTATTTCCACTCTGTCACCAGTAATGTTTCCATGTCAGTATTATGATGGCAAAAAGTCTACAGGGAATACTCTTATTGTGCTACAAATTTCAATGTTATTTCAGAATGACTAATTTGATTTCCAAACAAAGCTTTAAGGAATGACTTCTCTTTTTTTTTGGATGGAATAATGTATTGGATAGAAGAAACACTGTTCAACTTTTTTGATTAAAGGTTAACAAATTATTTGCAGTCTTGAAATATGACATCTACTGAACATGCTTAGAGGTTGTTATACAGAATTACAACAAAAAAGTGACAGAATGCTTCTTGCTGATATTGCCAGTGACTTGATTCCATTTCAGCCATGTAAAGTTTCTTATCTCTTGGGGTGATGATATGCTTCAGTTTATACTGCAAATCTCCAAAAGTTGACTTTCTTCATGCTTCTAAAAGACTGTCAGGAGTTACCCAGCTGAAAAATCACAGAAATACTGTTTGTTCTTCCAAGCGTTGTTTTGGCAGCTCTCTGCTGTATTAGAAAAACTAACCCAAGGGAAGTTCTGTCAAAATTTGAATGTCATCTTGCAAATGAACAGGGAGATTAAATCATTGTGTCCTAGTTATGTGTGTAAGTATGGCCAATGTGATAACTGATGTGTGCATCATACAAATAATTTGGCGGCAATATTTGAGAAAGGTAGTAAAAATAAACGCAATGGATGTTTTGATTATTTGTTTTATGGTCATAGCTAAAGCAAAAACTATTATATTTGTGACAGCTACTCATAGTACATAAAATATTTGTTCTAAGATGTGAATAATACAAAAGACTCAGCTATAGGAAGATTCTAGGTGACATTTTTCAAAGAAAACAGCAAGGTCAAAGATATTATGGCAGGCACGAGGTTAATGATTCAAAGGAATAGGAAGAAGGCCAGTGTGGCTAGAACATAGTAACCACATTTGAAGGAAACTAAGTTCTTCTTGTCCTCTAGGATGGGAACATAAATCTCTTCTTGGCAATTAGAGAGACCACCAAGTCACACCTTCCACAGCAAGACCAGAAGGGAGAATTGTACAGCCAATTGAACTGACTAATAAAAACATCAGCCTGGCATGGTGGCTCACAACTGTAGTCCCAGAACTTTGGGAGGCTGAGGCGGGTGGATCACCTGAGGTCAGGAGATCGAGACCCACCTGACCAACATGATGAAATCCCGTCTCTACTAAAAATACAAAAATTAGTCAGGCATGGTGGCAGGAGCCTGTAATCCCAGCTACTTGGGAGGCTGAGACAGGGAAATCGCTTGAACCTGGGAGGCAGAGGTTGCAGTGAGCTGAGATTGCGCCATTGCACTCCAGCCTGGACAACAAGAGTAAAACTCTGTCTCAAAAAAAAAAAAAAAAAAGTATTACATTATCTCAAATAAATACCATGCAGCTTCCTTTGTGACTGTAAATGAAATTCTAGATTTTCAAATTAAGACTAAAAATAAATAGATAAAATCCAAAATGTAGTGCCTAAATAACTGCATTAGTTTTATTCAGAATGGCGCACACACACACACACACACACACACACGCACATACATAATGATTGTAAAAGTTTGCTATTCAGTCGAAAAGTATTACTGGAAGGCATGGTTTATATTTCCAAAATTGGGGGATAAATTAGGCTTGAATTTTTAGAAAATAATACATTATTAAATTTGCTAGAGCAGAGCATACTCCCCTCAGGCAAATTAAAGTCTCATTATAGAATTTTAAAAGAAAAAACTAATAGATTTGTGATGGTACTTTGTAATTTCAATATATTTGACAAGGAAAATTTAGAGAGCAAATTTTTAAATCTACGTCTCTAAGAAATAAAAGTTAACAACAAAAATTAAAATTAATTTTTACATGAATAATGCAATTCATTGAGAATGTTTCTTCTTTTCTTGAAGAACATTAGGATTTTAATTCTTCATGTTTCTAAAAGTCTGAGCTGGAGAAAATGTGACTAAAATAAAATTGATACCATTCAACTGTACCCCTTTTTTTATATAATTGTTTTCAAAGTTGGATATAACTTGATTTAGACGATAGATTATGTGTGATTTAACCCATGTGTTTTATACATTTTAATAGGGTATTTTGTTGAACATATTTGAGCAAATATCATAACACTTTAGAACACAAAATGTGCTATTTGTTTCCCATGACTTTCTTAAATCTGAACTCAAGAACACGCTTGTTCTAATAATATAACTTCTAATGTGATTCTAATGTGATGTTATATAAGTTTTCATTATTTCACTAGGACCAAGTAGACATTCTTTGCTTTGACAGTTTGTGCCTTTGTAAAATTATATAAATGATCACTGATATTTTTTACTGTATTAAAATGATTTCTCTTTTACATATAAAATATTTTGATATAATATGTAAGACAGAAAACCAAACTTATTTACTTATCTTTAATGAATGATTGGTCAGTTACTGAAATGCCACTTAGTAATTAATCTGTGAGTTTTATATGAAACATCATATTTATTATATATTCAATTACTGATTTATGTTAACAGCATTACCTAGCATCTAGCGGGTATGTACAATATTTCAAAATCTTCCTTAGTGTTTTACCACCATTATCCTATTTTTTATATACAAATCCATAAGGAAAGTATCATTAACATCCATAGTCTACAGATAGAAACCCCAAAGTCAAAATATAATAAATAAACCTGTCCTATAGCTAGAACAAGATATAGAAAATACAGTTTTCATAAATTAAACAGTAGTGGAAATAATAATTAAACAATATTTGTTGAATATATTTAAAAATACATAAAATTTGTAGATATACTTGAATGTTTCTGTATTTTATTTACATAACAACTAAATAATACTATATACTATTCTAAGCACATGTTTTAATTCATTTTAAACTCATACCAACCTAAAAAAAAATCACTATAAAGAAATAGAGGTGAAAAGCAATTACGTAACTTTCCCAGGTAACATACCAGACAAGTAGCAGAATCAGGATTTATACCCAGAGAGAATAACAGCAGTATGGATACTTCTAAGTCCTGGATATATTCAGAGATTTCCTTTTGATTTGTCTTGATAATCAAGAATTTGTTAGTAAAAATGAAGTTATTAATATCTGCAGATTGAGATGCCTCTTTGAATATGATTGTACAACTAGAAAATGTGAGATTTCACAAAACACATTAATATTAGAAAAAATAGTTTGACACAACATTTCTTTATACCAGCAATAACCAGTCACTAAATACAAGTTTTAAAATTCCATTTCACAATAAAAATATGTGTAAATTTTCAACAAAATTATATGCTAGCTCAAGGCACTATAACATTTTTCCCTTTTCCTTTGAAATGTGTAGCAACATCATAGAAGGTTACTTACTCAAAAGATTCAATGTGTCAATATCTCTAATAAGGAATATAAAACCCACAATAAGAGCAGAAAGAGGATTCAGGGCAGGCTTCAGAGTGAATGTGCTAAAACAATTGATTCATAAAAAAAATATAAATTTGTTGGATGCTAATATGAAGGAAAAAATCTGAAGCAGGAGAAAAACTCATGCAAAGCGCATATACATTAAAATACATAGTTTACCCTTTTGCAAAGTACCCATCTGAAAAGATATTAATAACCACATTGTATACGAAGTTCAAACAATAGGAAAAAAATTAAATAATCCAATTTAAAAATGGGTCAAGGTCTGAATAGACATTTCTGAAAAGAAGACATATAAATGGCCAATATCACTAATCATCAGAGAAATGCGCATCAAAACTACAATGACATGTCATTTCACCCTTGTTAAAATGGCTTTTTTCCAAAAGACAGGCAATAAGGAATACCAATGAGGATGACCATTGTACACTGTTGATAGAAATGTAAATTAGTACAGTCATTATGGAGAATAGTATGGAGGTTCCTCAAAAAATGAGAAATATAACTATCATATGATCTAGTAATTCCACTGCTGGGCATAGATCCAAAAGAAATAAAATCAGTATATCGAAGAGATATCTGCACTCTCATGTTTATTGCAGCACTATTCACAATAGCCAAGATATGGGAGCAAATTAACTGTCCATC